>NC_000006.12:163101093-163252608 GCF_000001405.40 Homo sapiens | reverse complement strand
ACTTAGGAGTGGAAAGATGACAGTCACGGACTCTGCACGGTGAGCCCCGCCTGCAGCACTGCCCCTCTGGCCTTCACAGCGGGGCTCTCATCAGCGCCTACCTCAAGCGTCACCTCCTCAGTCAGAGCCACGGGACCCAGCCCTCTCCGGCCCCTGCCTGGACTGGATTCTCTTCCTAGCAGTTACCATCCCAGAATCACCCGTGCAGTGATTTGTTTCCCCGATGATGTCGCCCCCCTGCTGCTCATCTAAACTCCACGAAGGCAGGGCCTGCGTCTGCCTTGTCCAGAGATGACAGCCTAGGAACGAAGGCCGGCGCCTGGCCGAGCGTCAGCGATGCTTGGGGAATATTCAGTGGGTGCAGAGGGCGTGCTCACAGCAGCAGGGGCTGCGGCCCTCACGTGCACCAGGCCTGTCTCTTGGCTCTGCTTCCTCCTCTGTGAGATGCAGTGCACCCGTCTTGTGGGGTAATTGTGAGGCAGGCAGGAAACGCACGTGGGAGCGTTTTGCGGTGTGGATAAGCAACACAAAAGGCAACACTGATCACCAGACAGCTCGGGAGGATTTACTGTGCAGAGACACCGTGCTTAGCTGTGGCTTAGACCAGGTATACAGGTGCCTTGTCTCCTTCAACCTTCATCCATTACATCGAACCATGTAACAGTCAGAGTTGATATTATTATTATTCCATTTGAAGAACCATGGAAAGGTTAAGCAATTTACCCAAGGTCGCTCAGCTAGTAGATGATAAAGACCCCAAATCAGGCCCCACGGCCCCCAGTAGTAATAACTAACTATGATCGCAAGCCCATTTCTTATTTTCCAAAGGCTATATCTCAGATGTCCTGGAAGTCTGAGCATCCTGGAATTTGTATTTTACATTGCATGCCAATAATGAGCTGCCACTTGGATTTCGTGCCCTAACTTCTCCTGTGGAGGTCCGAGCAGCGCAATACAGAATGGATGAGTAACAGGGATCTTCACTCTCATCCCTTATACTGTTGACCTCATGAGCTATGGCCAAAGAAGAGGACGATTAATACACACTAAGAGTGTTCCCAAAATATTAGCTAAAAATCAGGACCCCATAGAAAGCAAATGTTTCTGCCACTCAGGCTGCCAAAGATTATGATTGAATATTGGGAAACCAGTTTAAGATCCACTAAAATACATAATCATTGCATTCCGGGAAGTCCCCGACGTGTTCTCCATCACTATCGAATGTGCAACGACCTCCAAAGTGCAGAGATAAGGTTTCAGAAGTTCCCAATAAAGGCTGCATGATCCCAGTTCTTTTCCAATATGCACAATTTTATTTATTTATTTAAATTTTATTATTAATATTTTATTTTTCAATAAGTTATGGGGTACAGGTGGTATTTGGTTACATGAGTACGTTCTTTAGTGGTGATTTGTGAGAATCTGATGCACACATCACCCGAGCAGTATACACTGCACCCAACATGTATTCTCTTATCCCTGACCCCTCCCACTCTTCCCCCTAAGCTCCCAGAGTCCACTGTATCATTCTTATGCCTTTGCATTCTCATAGCTTAGCTCCCATGTATCAGTGAGAACATATGATGCTTGGTTTTCCATTCCTGAGTTACTTTACTTAGAATATTAGTCTCCAGTCTCATCCAGGTCACTGCAAATGGTGTTAATTCATTCCTTTTTATGGCTGAGTAATATTCCATAGTGTATATATATATATATATATATATACAACAATTTCTTTATCCACTCATTGATTGATGGGCATTTGGGTTGGTTCCACAATTTTGCAATTGTGAATTGTGCTGCTATAAACATAAATATAAATTGTGCTATAAAATAAATATAAATTGTGCTATAAACATAAACATAAATTGTGAATTGTGCTGCTATAAACATGCTTGTGCAAGTATCTTTTTCTAATAGTGACTTTTTTCCCTCTGGGTAGATACCCAGTAGTGGGATTGCTGGATCAAATGGTAGTTCTACTTCTAGTTCTTAAAGAAATAAAGGGCATCCAAATTGGTAAAGAGGAAGTCAAACTGTCACTGTTTGCTGACGATATGATCGTTTACCTTGAAAAACCTACAGACTCCTCCAGAAAGCTCCTAGAACTGATAAAAGAATTCAGCAAAGTTTCCAATATTCATAATTTTAAAAGATAGTAAAATGCAATGCTTTCTCCTAATTCTGCAGAAGCAGTGTGGAGGAGCAGAACTCCGGTGCATGGGGCCCCCGAGCATTTCAGCTGCTAACAAATTTATAGCCAAGCACTGTTCCAGTCTGTCTCATGACCAGGCAATCAGCGGGAAGGAAAAATATCTCTGGTTTTGTACTTCCTATTTTTCAATGGTTATGGTGCAAATTCAATCTTACAGCACATTTTGGTGGCGCCATTAAGAGGGCAGTCTGTTGCTTTGTTACCTCTGTTCTTATTTTATCAGAACTTTGTGTTGCTTCATTAGCTACCATTTACAAAAATGGTGCAACTGTTGTTTCCTGCAATGGACAATGTGATGATCAGAAAAATGTGTCTATCACCTTATGACCACTTGGAAGAATGCCACCAACTATTCACAAGAGTGGCAGTCCTAGAGGATCATTCCAGAGAGTTTGCCATGGACATTCCCTGCGGTGGGAACCACAATGGGCAAGGAGTGTGTGTCATCTGGTCAGCCTTTGTGCAAATACTTAGCCTCAGACTGGCCAGCTGGCGTCACTTCCCTTTTGAGAACAAAGGAGCATCCATGTTGGTTTGGCATAAAAGACACTCCAATTTAAACAACAGCCTTTTCTGACTCAAACTTCAGTTTGCACTGAGAAGCCAACCCAGAAGCCGGTCACCACGGAGCCGGGTGCCCTGTCATCCAAGCAAACTCACACTTCACAGTCAACTTCTGCTGCCAGGAAACCACAGAAACTTCGCTGGTTGCTAAGTCTTCGTGGCCTGGCATCCGACACAATCTCCACAGCACCCGGAGACCACTAGGTCCCATGGAATCTAATAACTTGCTCCAAACCAGGAATGTAAGCAGGCACAGGAGGCGAGAGAGTTGGCTCCACTTCCGGCCCATCAGGATCCCCCTTCTGAAAGGCTCATGCCCTTAACTAGAATTAACTTGGGACCTTTCAGTCATATTCATAACTTAAGGTTTGTACTGGTGATATGCACTTGCCAGCCGGCTATTTTGGCCCCAAACAAATCAAATAAATGTAACAAATGAATTTAATCATATTGAAAGGCTGGATAATGGGCATGTTTTTTTTTAAATGGACAATTTCTATGTTTGAAAATGTATTAGTATTTTCAGATCTTTTGAAATGATTAGCCATGCCATTTCCATAATGTTGGAATGCAGTGAGAAATTTGAGTTTGAGGGCAACCTCCACTCTACAGGCAACATAATATTGACCCAGAGACTTTGCGTGCATCCTTGTTTCAGCGTACAGGCCACTAGACATGATCAAAACATGTTTCTCATTCTGTTATGGCTAAGAAAGCACTATAAATTGAAAACTTAAGTGACCGACTTTCTATTGGTTTCATTAAGAACAAACCAGATTCTCAGCTTTGTCTTTTTTTTTTTTTTTTTTTTTTTGAGACAGAGTCTCGCTCTCTTGCCCAGGCTGGAGTGCAGTGGCGTGATCTCGGCTCACTCCAAGTTCTGCCTCCCGGGTTCACGCCATTCTCCTGCCTCAGCCTCCCGAGTAGTGTCCCAACAGACGCCTGCCACCATGCCCAGCTAATTGTTTGTATTTTTTTTAGTAGAAACGGGGTTTCACCATGTTAGCCAGGATGGTCCCGATCTCCTGACCTCGTGATCTGGCCGCCTTGGCCTCCCTCAGCTTCGTCTTAAGTGGACAGAGGGTCATGCCCTTTTTCTAGAAAGAAGCACATGTCATTGCTTACTCAAGGCTATCAGAAAACCTAATAGTTGTCAGATGTGAAATAGAGTTTTGGATTAGATTTGGGCTCCTGTTGGAAATTGGGAATTCTGTGGCTTCATGGGAAAGCAATTGCCATGCAGCACATCACCCAGAGAAACCATCAGACAACTTAGATCCAGAAAAGTATTCTGCTTCTCGGAATAGTGTGTTTGCATTATGAGGAAATATTTCTATTGGGGAAAATATTAGAATAATTGAGGAATGTGGTAGCACAAAATCTTTTTTTTTTTTTTTTGCATAAAATATGCACTCCCCTCTTGCCCCGCAAACCAACACTAGATATCTTGAAAGGGTGCTGAGCAATCCCCACACAATAAGCTTTTCAGTAAAGGATGGTCATCTGGCTATGAACCACAAGAAATGCTACAAACAATAGCAATTACTAATGCATTCTTTGATTCTCAGCGACAGCTGAATGAAACAAAGAAGGGAATCTTTCTTGCGGGGCACATGATTGTGACAGGCTCCTCACCCCACCCATGCAACATTCAACAACCTCTCCGCCTGGCACTGTGTGTCTCTTTCTTGCCATTCTCTATTTGCCCTTTGCAAAATATTGATGACCCTTGTTGCCATTCAGTGGGGCATGGAGGTAGCATTTTCTTGGAGATGGCTTTGCAGCATAGGAAAACGAGTCTTTGGCTTTACCTGGAAGTCTGTGGTGTTGCTGGAAGGAGAGGTTATATACTTCGTCAACATGCAGTTGTGTCTCTACCGTGCCAATGTTACAGAAGTGTATCTTTCAAAGGACCCTGGTTTTAATACATAGAATAAAAACCAACTTCACAGGGAAAAAGTAGAAAAGAATTTTTCTTAATCTGATTGAAGTTGGGGGTAGGTGCTTTTAACGGAAAGAGACAAATAGCTGCTTGTTTACTGATGAGATGGGACAGTGGCAGGTAGACGGTGAAGTAGGAGGTTGTGTTAACAGCAGGCTTCTTGGTGTCTGTTAAAGATTGTTTGTTATGGAGGGGGGTCCTAATAGAAATGACTGCAGCTTTGACCTGAGGCTCACTGAAGACTTTCCAGGAGTGCTTTTTAAGTAATGCTTTTAAAAATAGAGCGTGCTCCTGGGACCTCATCAAACTGTGGTCAAAGGAATGCTCAATATTGTTAGAAGCAGGTTCTGCTCAATACCAACTCCTGAACTTCACAATCTATATGTGACAGAAGATCCATCATGATGACAATTTTGCATTTTAATTTTTTAGAAGATAAACTACATAATATAAAGCACATTGCAATTCTTAATATCTCTTAATGCTTTTAATAATAATAATACCTATTTTTCTAAGGGAGTAGGAAACATATGGGAGAACATTCACAGAAGGAGCATAAGGAGCGCTCCTCCAGGGCTGTGGCAGGCCTGTGGCAGATTGAGGGTTTCTAGCTAGAGCAATATGAGTGGACACATATTTACACTAGCATTTCTTTAATGCTTTATTTTCATTGAATTATGAAACTCCCTTTAATTCTTAGCAATAAAAAATGCTGGTTATGTTATTAGGTAAACCTTCTAGAATGGAAGTCATTTCTTGGTTCAAGTAAGGATACCAGAGCACTCTATTCTTGGAGCGTATGAACTCAGCCCCTTAATGATCCCCCTTCATTATACTGCATTTTCTTTTGGGCCCTTGGCCATGATCAAAGAAACAGCCATTTGAAAAGGCCCACTGCATTTGCTTTACAAATACTGCTGAGGACATTGCCCTGTACTGTGTGACCTTCACTTAGAATTTTATCTTAGGAAAAGTCTTATTCTGTTAAAGCACAGTATACTCTGTGCTTTCCTACTTTCTCATGATAATGTTGTAACTGGCCACCTTGCTTTGGGTTTTTCTTTTCTCCTGTATTTTTTTCCTTGGTGCTAGGTTTTCTATTTTTGACTTTCATTGTATTTGTTTTTGCCTAAAGCTGTTTCAAATCCTTTGTGAAAAAATAAATATGTGTAAATGTTGAACAAGGAATGAGAAAATTTGTATGTAAGTGATGGCTTCTAACGTCACATAATCATCAGAAATGCTTACTGAGCACCCTCTGGGCAAGAGGCAGCTGACACGGAGTGAGACAGAGCCCCTGTTCTCACATGCTGCCTCTCTAGTTGGTGGAATCTTACAGGTATTAAGCAAACGGCTATGTAAACATTACATATTTCAGATGGTTGTAAATATTATGAAGAAGAAAACAGAGTGAGGGGATAGAGTGTGCCTGAGCCTGTAGGTCTGGATCACTTAGAAAGCCTCCATGTGGAGGCACAATTTGAGCAGCAATCCAAACAAAAAGGAGAAAGGAGCCATGCGCAGAACCAGGGCGAGAGTGTCCAGGCAGAAGAAGGAGCTGGTGCAAAGGCCCTGAGGCAGCATCAATCTTGGTGTGCTGGAAGAGCAGCAAGACTTCTGATGCAACTGGAGAATATCAAACAAGAAAGAGATGAGATGGGGTCAGGGAGATACATAGGGTGAGGTGATGTTACCTCTTATATGCAAAGGTAAGGGCACTGACATTGATTCTAAGCGTCATGGAATATCATTGGAGGATGTTAAGCAAGGGAGTGACAAAATCTCATTGAACTTTGAGAAAGACCATTCTGGCTACTGAGTGGACGATGGGCTGTCCCGGAAGCAGAGGGACTTTTTAGAAGCCGTTGCAGCAATCCAGGCAAGAGGCAGAGGTGGAGGCGCTGAGGGGTGAGCAGATTCATGAAGACCATGGAGTAGAGCAGTGCTTTGCTGCTGCAGAATTTGGAGGTAGGAGGTAAAGGTGAAGGAATGAGGACTTCAAGATAACTTTACGGTTCTTGGTAAATCATAGATAGTGGTCCCATGTAGTTAGGTGGCCAAAGACCTGAGTAGGGGCAGAAAATGCCCGGAGACCGAGTCAAGAGTTGTCTTGAGCGCCTTCAGTTTAAAAGGCCTACTGGACATCCAAGCACAGCGGCTGATTAGGAAGTCGGACACAGGAGTTAGAAGCTCAGAGTGTGTGGTGGGGAGAGGGGTGTCAAATGAGGGAACCATCAGTGCAGAGACGGTGTTGAAAACTGTGAGGCTGAATTTGAGATGGCCAAGGGAATGAATGCAGATAAATAGGAGAAGAGGACTGAGGCTCCATCTCTATGAACCCCGTGATCCATTCTGTTTCCTTAATGGCTGACTTAGAACTAACCATATTAACGTGCGGCTCTCCAAACCTGTCACGGAGACGCCGGCTCTGTGCGATTTTTGAATGAACAAAGCCATATTTAGTGAGGGTCCTCCCTGATTAGTATTAAAAATACCCCCAGTCTGATAATGTGCTAAATTATATTTGGCTTTAGGCTATAATTATAATTCAGGCACAAAATTTTATGTCTCTGAAAATGGCATAGTTTATAGAATCGATAGTTTCCAAGAGTAGTTTAACAGAATTAAGTTAAAAAGTGCCGCGAAAGTAGACTTTAAAAGATAAAGCCATAATAAACTATTACTAAATGTACGTAGAACATCCTAGGGGAAAAACAACTTTCACAACTCCTTGTTTTATTTAGTTTGGAATTAATTACAAATGATGAAATGTGTGACATTCATATTATTTGTTGCAGAGTTTAGTCTGGGAAGCATAAACTGACTTAAAATGAAGATTAGACTTTTACATACAATGATGGTAGAAAATGGTAGAAAGACAAGGAGCAAGTCTGGACCTCCCCACTTCGCTAACATGGAGGACAATTCACTTCTTTGTCGATGGGTTACTAAAAAGAGAAGCATAACGGGGAATTAATTTTTCTCTATTGAAGTTTTCAGCAATTTCTTACAGCTCTGCAATTTTTTAGTGGCTAAAATACTTTGTTTGCCAAGGTTAAAAATCTCATGTTCTGGCACCATTATTGTTTAAAAAACACTTTCATTTTAGTACTGCTCACTTTTATTCTCCCAAAAGATTACATGAAAATGAAGAATTAGTTTAGCAACTGAATGAGTTGGTGCCTTCGGAGGACAGACGTATTGAGAAATGAAGCAATGTTTCATGGAATCCTGAATGAGATACTTAAAGCTTCCACAGTATGGGACTTTTGATCTCCGGGGCTTGAGTTCAGCCTCACGAGCTCTTGTGCTGATGGGCTGGGGCCTTGTAGGAGGAAATATGGTCAGTGCTGGGCCTTCCTTTCGAAAATACAGAACACAGTGCATGACAAAGGGAGGCAGCTTATTCCCATGACAGAGGGGCTCTTAAATGATTTGTGCAATTGCAAGGCACGGCAGTGTATTTTCAGTGTCTAAAATGTGCTTGTAAAGTTTAGCACACGTTAGGTCTCCTTGGCCCGACCTTACAGAAAATACTAGATGATTCAAGCACAGATCCTCGATGAAGCTCACACGGAAACACGTCATCAATCAGCTCCACCCAAACTGAATGCAAATGAAGGAATTAAGAAAGAGACTTAAGAAAGCTTTTCTTTTAGGAAAAAAAATGATTTAAATGAATGGTATGAAACAAACTGCTCTATCTTGTCCTACAAAATGAAATGGAGACTATATTCCAGATTAGGACACTCAGTTTTGTTTGAAATACAATCACACATGGCACTGAAATTATTCGTCTTTGTGAATCACTGAATGAACACACAAAAGTGGCCAAAGACATTACAGACAAAATCTCTGTGTCAAATTAAAGACTACAAATGTAAGAATGCTTTGTCAGATGCCCACATGTTAGTAAATGCTTGCTCAGTCTCTGCTTACTCTGTTTGACTACATTTCGTTTTTGTACAGACACCATCAATCACGGACCCTGTTTATTTAACCAGGGTGAGATAGCTTCTTAGCCTCAGTTACTAAGTCTCAGCAGCTGGGCCTTGGAGACCCAGGTGAAATCTCTTCTGTTGGTTAAAACAAGGAGACAATTAAGACACTTGCTTCTCTTCTAAATTAGATAATAAATTTCCATCAGGTTAGTGTTTCAGGGTTTCACTCAAGTTTTTTAGACTCTAAGCATCTTCAGTTTTTCAGCGGATGGACAGACAGGACCAGAACCTGGAGGAGACCACTGGGGTGGGTTAGGTGGTGACTGAGGACCCAGAGAGGAGGAGCTGAGGGGTGGTCCACCATCCCGCGGCTCCTGCTGTGTGTGTGGGCGTGTAGGTACAAGTAGATGCCAACCAGCTACACAGTCTTGGAAATGAAAAGAGCCACTTCTGACACACACAGGAAGTGACTTGGGAGCTTGGAAATGTCCTTAATGAAAACCCCAAGAAGCTTGTTGGGGGTGCAGGCATACGCTTGGGTACCACTGGGCAACACAAACACAGAGTGTACGTGAACATTCACACGCTGGACACATTTCTACTGAAGGCATAACTTGGTGCCAGGCACATGCCCCTCCCCTTTCCCCGTGGAACTTCTGTCCTCACAGTGACTGTGTGGCACTGTCAGCAACAGCCAGCTGGGGGCCCAGGGAGACTTGGGTGTTCGGGACATTTGTTTAATAGCAGGCCCACAGCTTCAGTACTCAGAGTGGAATCAGTGGCACCAGCCAGTGATACATCACGTAACCTATGACTCCTGGACCACGCCTTGCTTACAGGCAGAAAAGTCCAATGCGGGTCATGGTTGGTCTCCCCAGGTTAATTTATTTGTTCAAACAAATAATGGCCTGTTATGAAAAAATAACTAAAAGTCACTTAATGAAGGAGGCACTGTATCTGTAGGGAAAAAGACAATTGCTTTCAGACTAAACTATCAGCAAAACAATATTCATTTCAACTGCATTTTGCAATTCATGATTGAAGCCCATTTAAATGTTGGTTTAGATCTCAACTCATTTGGACACAAAAGAAACAATTCCCTGTGATATTTGGAGGCATCATCTTCTTTTCAAGTAAAGTGAAAAATAAATTTTTTGCTTGCAGCCTGGAAACATTCATTGCCATAAATGACACAACTCGGTAATCTGTGAAGTATTCTAAAGGTGCTGTGGCTTACACATATTTAATTTTTCTAGTTACTTTATTAGCTGAATCCTTTGAGGCCAAAACATATTGGATGAGCAATCCTAATTTCCCCTATTTGTCAATGTTTGCTAAACCATAGGAAATTTGATATTATCCCATCACCCTTCTGTGCCTGGTGCTAGAAATGCTGTCTCTCACTTTTTGGCTCTTTTATTAGAAAAGACATTTCATACAACCAAAGAAAGATAATTGAGCCTTATAAATCAAGAGGAAAATGCTACAATGATTGCAATCTCCCAGTCCAGGGCAGTTTCCAAAACACATTTGAATTGTACTGAGGAATGCATGGAAAAGAAAATCAATGTTGCCCTATGCGATAATTTGCATTTGTTACATACACAACACACAGTGGCATTAATTAATAGAAGAATGGTGCTGATCTATCTGTTAGTGATTTGCTTTTAGTGCAATTCATCAGATGATAATCATTTCTCTGAAATGCTGTGAGGAGACGGAAAATGGAATTTCGACTCAGTAGGTCCATAGGGCAAGAGAAAAGATCTTTGGTTGTGCATGAACCTAATTTAATTTTCTAATGTTTGATCCCAAGTTTTTTGTTGCATGGATGAAAACAGTAACAAATTATAGCTCAATAAGTTTAAAAAAATCTTTTTTTCTTTTAAAGAGCTTTGCCTCAGCTAACATCATTGGTTTAAAAAAATTGTTTTAACTTGGATAAAAGCAATTAGGCAGTGACATGACTGTTTTTGAGTCTGAGCCCACCCTCACGTCTCCCCCTTCACTTTCTTTTCTGCCAGATTTACTCACAAATGGGTATGAATGTCAGGAATGCCAGACGGGGGCTGGACTTGGCATTAGAATGGATTCATCTGTTCCATCCCCAGCCCGTGCCCCCCCTTTGGGTTTACCATGGCCTCTCATTCACCTGGTTTTCCCCTTTTGCCTTCTACACACCCGCTTCATGGTTCTCAACTGGTTGCCAGAAATCAACCTCCTACCTTCTCCATTCAAAAGCTATAAACATGTACCTCAACTCAGATCACCCCCCACATCTACCCAGACCAAACTGTAGAGTGGCTCCCAGCTCTGTCCCTAGCCCTAGCCCATTGAGGGGTGGCTCCTGGTACCCTGCCTTTTCAGCTGCCAGCTCAGCCCTCCAGGTCCTTTTTCCAAAACCCTGGTCCCCAGGCATGTATCGTGTAAAAACAGTGCAGGGTATGAGGGCTCCTGGAGCCTGGGCCACATCTCCCAAGAGGGCCAGGTCAGATGATCACGGAAGGGCTGCGTATTACATACACACACCTGTTAAAAGCGAAATGAACATAAAGTTCAAGACTTAGCTTTGTAATTGAACCTGCCATCCTTTCTGCTTTTCTTGGTGTGTAAATCAAATAAAGACTTGAGGAGAAAAAAATGAGATTTTGTTGAAAATATGTTAAGTGAACATTCAGATATTTTACTGATTTTTTCCCCAATGACAGCATATCATAAATTTAAATTAAACTGTTGCAGTGTACAGGTTCAGCAGTACCTTTCACCTTTTTTCTTCCCCTCTCTCAGGTAATGAAATTTACATGGTATATAAAATCTTATCTTTCACTAGGAAACATGCCGAAAAATATCAAATACCAATTTTCTGTATAATTTACATTAAGAATTGGAGAAAGATTGGCAGATAAATATGTCACATAGACTTGAGTTGCCTTTTGAGAAGAATTAGAAATTAGTAAGAAAAGTCCGATTTTGGGGAGTAAAATTTCAAGCAGATGTTATGAGAAGTCTTTCTGGAACATGAGTGCTTTTATGGTGCAGAAGCAAAAGGGCAAGCCCCTTGCTACGGGCGAGGAGGGAAGCCTGATGCAGCCCTCGTTTACTTGAGGGGGGATACTGGTCGAGGTCACCGGGCAAACATGGGCAGAGCTGCGCTCCGGAATGGACCACGTTCCCTCCACAGGGCAGCGCCCCGAGGGTGAGGACGGCACAGTCGGCTGTTGATTCCATGAACAAGGAGTTTAGGGTTAATGACTCTACAGCTGAAGAGGCCCCACCGCGTATGTGCCCAAATCCAAGGAGGTGTTTAGGAGCGTGAGGTCTGGGTGAAAGTGAGAACGCAGCCCAAAGCAGGAGGGTACGAGCCCTCTCCCAGCCAGGTGGTTGAGGAGGAGGGGACCAAGGAGGTGGGAGTCACCCCACAGGGCGTCAGGCAAGGCGACCATTGGACCCCGTGACCTCACCCTGTACTCACAGACTCCAACACTCAACACCAAAAGCAGCTTTAAATAGTATAGATTTTATGGAAGTCTTCACGAGGACGGGAGTACAGAGCTTGTCTCTTAAACAGCCACACTTTCCCTAAATCTTTAAACAAAATTTCTGCTTTTTCTTAAATTTTCTGTCCCCGTCACAGCTTTCATATTCCATGGGTTTCTTTCTTAATGCACCCCCCAATCGTCCCTTGCACGTCCCCCCCTCCTCCTCCCAGACATCTCTCTCCAAGGCCAGGCGTTAGCATCCCACTCACCCCACAGGCCCGGCGGAGGCACAGGTGCGGCCCCGGGGAGCCACCACCGTCTCGGAAGCAGAGCTCTGGGAATAGCATGTGCGCGAGCCAGCGTCAGTTGTGTGTGTGAGTGTGTGTGGGGGGGTGGAGGTGTGAGTGTGTGTGTATGTGTCTGTAGAAGTAGGGGTGAGGGTGTGTGTATGTGTATGTGGGCATGGGGGTGTGAGTGTGTGTGTATGTGTATGTGACGATGGGAGTGTGAGTGTGTGGGGGGGGTGGGAGTGTGAGTGTGTTATGGATGGAAGTATGAGCGTGTGACAGTGTGAGTGTGTGTCAGAGTGTGTGTATGTCGGGGTGGGAGTGTGAGAGTGTGTGTGTATGTGAGTGTGTGTAGAAGTAGGGGTGGGAGTGGGAGTGTGAATGTGTGAGTGTGTGTGTGTGTGGGGGTGGAGGTGTGAGTGTGTGTGCATGTGGGAGTGTGAGTGTGTGTGTATGTGGGAGTGTGCGTGTGTGTGTATGTGGGAGTGTGCGTGTGTGTGTAGGGGTGGGGGGTGTGGGTGTGTGTAGGGGTTGGGGCAGCCGTGGGAGCAGGAGGGGCAATGAACAGCCAGCTGTGCCCACACCATCAGGTGATGTTAAGAAGGACAGGGGTTGCACTTGGAGAGATTGAGTTGTAGCAGGGAGAAGCAGCAAGGTGTCCACCTAGGGACTCCTGGACGAAATTCTGATGGAGCTAATTCTTACAGACATGATTCTGGGCAGAGGTAAATGATCAAGTGTTGAAGTGTAGATTGTGGAGTCTCTTATAGAGGTGGTCCTTGAAACCAAGACGCCAGGCAAGCATCTTAAGAATATTATGATAAAAGAAGAAGACTCATTTCAGTGGGCAGTAAGTATTGAATGCCAACAGAATGCACAGAAATATACTACTTGGAAACTTAAAACCGTGTGTTGACAGAATTTCCTCCAGTTGAAGGTTAGAAAAATAATCATATCTTACATGGTACAAATCTCTCAATCATTATTTTGCTTGTCATGAAAACCCAGAGAGAAGATATCATTAGCCTCATTTTATAAATGAGAAAAATATTCAAAAAGAATAAGTGCCTTGTTCAGTAATTTATCGAGGTGATGGGATTTGGAACTAAACTTTGAAACGCTTCTTTCACAAGCTTTTACCACATGCTAAGTGCTGACCACTAGGTCAGTAGTTGGGGATATAGACACAGACAAATGCCATCTTTGCTTCCACCAAACTCACTTCCATCATCAGAGATAGCAAAACAACATGGGTGATTACACGCCAAAAGTGAGGTTGAAGCATGAGATGGATTAACTCAAGTATGAAGGACAAAGAAGAAAGAGTGACTGATAGAAATACAGAAGAGACACCATTTTTTTGAGCCTTTTACATGAGAAAAAAATATTCTGGGAAGTCTAAACATTCTATTCTACAATACTGAGAAAAATAAAGATGAATGTTAATAGAACTCAAAGAAGAGTTATTCAAAGTCTAAGAATCAAGACTACGAAAGTCCTTGATGGTGGTGTTGAACGTGTTCCTTCTTTGTCTGAGACCACCAGCAGTCAACTGGCTAAAATGCCCCATGTGGGGCAGTGGGATGAAACGACTTCTTCAGATCTTTGACAGCAGAGAGAATCTATGCCAATGTCAAATCACTTCTTCCTTCATTATGCCAGCACTTTACAAAGATTTTCTCTCATTTGAACTAGATTCAAATTCTGTTCTGCCCTTCTATTCAAATTCTTCCTCCCAAGTATGATACTGTTATAAGTTATAGACTCAATCTAACACCAATACTGCACTTATCCTTATAAAAGAAGTGCCTTATGAGTTCTGGAATCAATTGGATTTAATTATTTACTGTTGTATATAAAACTCACTTATTGAAATAAAGTCTCCATTGCTCCCTCTTTTATTCCATTATATCATGCATATAAATATTTATTCAGCTAATAAATTTTATTTAAGATATAATACAAAACATTCTTAAATAATAGGAATATGACACTTTGACCATAAATTCAATTGTAGAGTAAAATTAATTCTGATGCTAGTCCACACCATCATTAACATTTTCTTTTTCAGTTAACCAAGAAAATATAATTTCAGTTTTACTAAAAGGGTTTGGCAACACTCCCTTCCACAGTGGGGCAATACTCCCTTCCACAGCTCTTCCTTCAAGCACATCCTGTGTTTAGTTGATTAATGAAAAGCCCCAGGAACTTTAGCTGCATATAAAATGGATATATCTTCTGACAGGATAAATAACACATGAAAATATAAGTAAAGCATCTTTTCATTGATGTCAAACAGGACAATGGGAACTGGTAACTATAATCTTTTCCTGATGACTTGGCTTAGAATACTGAGCAAAACATGTAGTAATAACCTATTAAGTTCAATAGTGTGAGCCATTTTCTGGTAGAACTTCTATAAAGAAAGAGTTTTCAAGAGAAAATAGGTTATAAAGTGATTAATTTGTGACCTTACACTAATGTAATTTATGGTGCTTCAATTTCTTTTCATATAACCTATCTTATGAGAACAGAAATGTGGCCTTAGAGACAGTAACTGGGGTGACAAAGAGACAACTCCAATTTACTTTATCTTAAAAAGGACATTATTATATTTTGAATAATGTTACCGTTGGCCTTACATTCATTTTCAACAAAAGTTGAGCATTTTTGTTTTCCTTAAGCAAGAGAAAACATGAACTAGAGCTAGATTTTCTCCCTATTTAATAACATCTAGTCAAATTAGCTATGTTGGTAGAAAATATGTATATAAAAAATACTTGCTAAGATAAAAATCCATTTACAGAAGACTGTGTCTATCAAGAAAATAAAATTACTGCAAATTAGGATGTATGCAATCCCAATATATTTTATGGAACAATCACGTGACCAAAAGTTATACTGTCAGACTAAAGAAATGGAGGGTAAACCCACCCCCTGCCAAAAAAACCCCACCCACCAACTAGCCAATCAAACCACTGATATATATTTAGGTTTGATGAAATTCATCATGCTAAGTAATTAAAGGAAATATCTACACATTACGTATCTCAAAAGCCTGTATCAAACCATCAATGATATAGTTTGGCTCTGTGTCCCCAGTCAAATCTCGTGTTGAATTGTAATCCCCAATGTTGGGAAAGGGGCCTAGTGGAAGGTGATTGGATCATGGGGGCGGAACTTTCCCCTTGCTGTTCTCATGATAGTGAGTTCTCATGAGGTCTGGTTGTTGTAAAAGTGTGTAGCACTTCCCCCTTTGCTCTCTCCCTCCTGCTCAAGCCATGTAAGATGAGCTGGCTTCTCCTTCAGCTTTTGCCATGATTGTAAGTTTCCTGAGGCCTCCCCAGCCATGCCTCCTGTACAGCCTGCAGAACTATGAGTCAATTAAACCTTTTTTCTTTATAAATTACCCAGTCTCAGGTAGTTCTTTATAGCAGTGTGAAAACGGACTAATACAATCAACCATTCAATGCCCCACTAAAACGAAGTGGCAAACTCTTGGTACAGCGGCACAGTCTCCACCTCTTCTTGCCATCTTTTCAGTCCCATAGCAGACATTTGTAATTGATTATGGCTCTTTATTCACCCGAGGGTAGGAAAAGACCCGGAATCTTGTGTAACACAGTCATATTTCCCATCAGAGTTCTAAAATGAGATGAAGTTCATCTGCACTTGTGTGAGACTAAATCTTCAACCAGTCAGTAGACAAATATTTATGGAGTGCTCAAAGGACAGCTATGCTTAGGAATACGTAGAAGAGATTCAACTCAGTTTCTGCTGAGATTAATTTCCAAAGGGGGAAAGAAGCTAGCAAAGCATAAGTATACATAAGTGAGTCACAATTACCAATAAATGAAAGAGTATTCAGAAGAAGGCCAGCTCAAGGTGGCACTAGGAGGAATGGAGAAGGGCAGGGTTGTTTAGGAAACCTACCTGGAGGTCAAACTACATTTTGGTTTGAAGAAAAATAAATGTGCTTTGGCAGATGGGAGGAGAACAGTTCTATTTAACATGATTTACCCTGAGGTTCATACAGGGTATGCCATACCCTGTGTGGCATATCCCACCATCTTTCAAAGTATCTTGTAGCCATTGCTGCCCTGACATAGGCAGAATCACAAACAGATTTTTTCAGATAAATAAATGCTTGGAGATCAGTCATATAACAAGTAACCTTTGGAAGAGCAGAAAGTTTGCCAGTTTTCCCAAAGCCTCTCTTTAAAAAAACAAAAACAAACAAAAAAAACAACTTTTTTCCTTTCTTTTTTAGTGTTTAGTTGTTACCAAACCAAAGCCTCTCTCTTATAAGCAATATTTGACAATAATAAAATATCAAACCACACTATAAATTGACTCACCAAGGGCAGAATTGAAAAAGAGAACTGTACTTGTTAAAGATTCCTTTGGAGGAGTGTAAGGAAATTGTGAAGAATTAAAAACAAATCCCTATAATATAGATGATAAAACCTTGTGAAATTGAAAAAATTTTCCAGAGAGAAATGTATAAGAGGAAGTGGACAATATTTCTGATAATTTCTCTTAGGTGCTGGCAAGCTGTTGAATTTAGGCACATTTCCTTGCTAGTCTATAGACATTAACACAGGGGATGAATGGCATGATCTGGCAAGAGGAAAACCCCTTCTCCAAGGAGAAGGACCTTGAGGAATTTGGAAGCAGATATTTCATATTCCACAAGTAAAAGAACACCATGCTCTCAAGACATACATTTTCTAGTCACCAACACCACCTCCTCTCAGTCAAGTGACATTTTAGTGGCAAGCTTCATGGAAGGCAGTTACGTACAATGGGGAAATTGAGAAATTATTTTAATGGAGCCTGTGTCTCCAGAAGATTATATGATGCTTTATCAATGGAGAAGAAATATATCTGTATATGCTTCAGGATTATCATTAGACTGTCACATGCAAAAGGGGAAATATGACAGGTTTGGGGATATTAGAGAGCAGCAGGAAATGTGGTGCGTCTGAACTGCTCGAGTCATGCCCACAACTCCCATTCAGCCGGCTTACGATGGAAGAGGTGAGCCCCTTCTCATTTCAGGCAAATTCTTCCGCTATGTCTTCCCACCTCCTCAGGGCCCTTGTACAATAGATTATAGCCTTTCTTTTTTGTACCTTCAGTTTCATGGAGCTCATATCTTTCTTCATTTAAACATAGTCGTGTCTTTTCGTCTTAAAACTAGCAAGTCTCTGTCTAACCCAAAACGTTACCAACATTTGGCCCCACTTTCCTTCGTCAAAATCAACTTTTTAAAAAGAGTTGCCTGTACTTGCTCTCTTCCTCAACTCTCATTTATTTTTTTACCCATTATAATCTGGCTTCTGTTTTACCTCTATATGAAAACTGCTTTACCCAAGACAGCATTGTTGCTCAGTTCAATGGACATTTTTCAGCCTTTATTTTACTTTGCCTCCAAGAGAAATTTTTGACTCTGCTCTCTTTGTTTAAACACATTCTTCTTTTGGTGCCCATAGAAGTAAACTCCTGTGGTTTTTGACCTGCATCTGTGGCTACATCTGCTTGGTCTCCTTTGGGAGCCGTCTGTCCCTTAAATGTAGGTGTTTTAGTCTGTTGGGGCTGCTATAAAGGAATGCCGAGGCTGGATAATTTTTAAGGAAAAGAGGTTTATCTTGGCTCATGGCTCTGCAGGCCATACAAGAAACATGGCACCAGCATCTGCTTCTGGTGAGGGCTTCAGGAAGCTTCCATTTATTGTGGAAGACGAAGGGGAGCTGGTGTGTGCAGAGATCACATGGCCAGAGAGGAAGCAAGAGAGGAGGAGCTGCCAGGTTCTTTTCAACAACCAGTTTCTGCAGGAACTAAGAGTGAGAACTCACCCACTCCCATGAGAAGTCACTCCCCTGAGAATGGCACCAAGCCATTCCTGAGGGATCTGCACCCCCCATGACCCTCCCACCAGGCCTCACTTCAAACATTGCAGATCAAATTTCAACATGAGACTTGGCAGCGCCAAACAAGCTATATCCAAACCATACCCAAACTATAGCAGAGGGTGAGACTCAGAACTGCACCCTAGATCATCTTCTGTCCCTGCTCTGTGTCACTTTCTATGGACCATCTCCATCATTAATGACAAGAGTACTCTTCCTTTAATGATGATAGTTATCCCCCAAGACCTGAACACTCTTAAATGGCTGAATAAAATCTATTACTTCCCACCAGGCATTTCTTATTGAGCCCCAAGACAAAATGTCTTATTATTTAGGGAATATTTCTATTTGAATGTCTCTCATTTGGTGAAATCTTAACAATGAAGGACAGTGCAACTTACAATTTCCCTCCTTCCCTACAAACGTGCTCCTCATTCCATTTCCCCTTCCAGAATTTTGTTTTCAGAACAGAAATCCAGAAGTTATCTTTTACTCATCCTACTTCCTCACTCACAATTCTGTGTTATTAAGACCTGTCCTTTATATGTCTTCAATATTTTTCAAATATTTCCATTTTCTCCATCTCCTCTGCCCCTAACACAAAGAAGTCACTGCCATTTCTCATGTGGACAGCTGTATCCTGCCCCCTCCACGGCCTCTTGGACTGTCTTTATCCCTTCCCATCTTGATGTTAAAATGTTTCCTCTTATTTTCTTGAACTCATAATATGTTTTCTCACACAGTGAAATGCATGGCAGTTATTTCTTTGGGCTAGCATGCAAAAGTCATTTAGCCACACAGGGTAATTTAGAAAATGGCATCTCTCAAGTTCAAGGCTGGTGTCATTTCTCTCCCTCTCTCTCCAAATTACCATCTAGGTCAACTGTAAAATGCCCCTGCAGCCTCCGGCCTCCTGCATTCTACTCCATTCCTCTGTTTTTACTGGCAGGTGAACTTTTTGTTCATCAATCAGTTCAGCCATCTCTTCATCCATCCATTCACACACCTTCAGCTTTGTCCCTAAATAATTTAAATCTCCTAACAGAGATGTAGAAAACATGAAAGTAGGTGAGAAAAATACAAAGGATAGTGAGCAGGTTATTCCCATTGTGAATTGAAGATGGATTGCAGCAAAGAATACTTCTTGGGGGACAAATTCCTGCTGAGCGTGTTCTGTAACATCACAATACAAGAGAAAACTTAACAGAAAATGTGTTTGAAGTTGCTGAGACCATCTCCTCCCCAGAGATGCCCTTTGCTACACTGGCAGGGCCACTCCAGCTGTAGTCCCAGAGGGATGCGGCCCTGGTGTGAGGGGCAGTATTTCAGCTGGAGGAGCAGAGTTGGGAGAGGGCTGAGGGCTGGTTTCGGGGGTGGAGGCTCCTGGAGGAGGGGTGGAGGGGCTGGCTGTGCAGGGCCAGGGCCTCCTCCTGGGAGCGTGAGCTGGGGGGTAGGTGAGGCGTGCTCTTTACCTTGCTCTGCTCTCAGGCCATGCCTGGACTGTTCTTCCTGCTCTGGCACCTCAGGGAATCAATCACTTTTGTCTCTTCCTATTGCCTGCTGTTCCTGAACAGGGCTCCTCTTCTCGCTGGTCCACAGGAACCTGTTGACCTTCCCCGGTGTGCCTTAGGGAAGCGGAACACCCTCAAAGTATAAGTGTGTTTTGCCATGAACAAGGCCAGGACCACAGAGCCACCTTCCTCTGCCCCTTCTCATCTCTGCTTCTTATTTCCACACCTTCCCACCTTTCCCTTCCCTTACTGCACTGCCTTCTTCCTTCTCCTCTTCCTTTGTTCCTCCTTTCCTCTTTTTCTTCCTTTTCCCTTCCCTTCTTACTAAACAAAGTAAGAAGTGGACAAAGTGTGGGCGTTGGTCTGACACGCAGGCTGGAGCTAAGAGCTACTCTACCAGGAGGACTTGCAGGTTGGGGCTCGGGCACATTGCAGCAGCGGAGGAGCCTCTGGAGTAGCCAGGCCCCAGCGGGACACGGCACCTGGTGCAGGTGAACTCTTCTCTATTATAAGAGTGTGACGCTAATCTTCAGCTCTCCTGGGTTCTCTTCATCATAAATATTCCTGGAATGAACATCACTGTGTTGGCTTGTCCTGAGGCACTCACCTCAGCCACTCCCTTCTAGGCTGGACCTTTGTGTTCTGTAGAGAGCTGCCTTGGGTGGTAGAGGCTGGCCTGAGAGTCCCAGCAAGTCAGTGCCCACTTCAAGTCATCTTCAGAAGTAGCTTATTTTATTTGTTCTAAATAATTATCTGTCCATTTCAACATATACTGCAGATGAAATATCTGCCAATGCAGCATTACATAAATACCAACGTAGTGCCAGCTCCAGCTGAGAGTGAAGCCGGGACTTGTTTACCTACAGTAACTGCGTGCTCAGCATTCTTGGGTGAGGCTGTTTATCATGGCCAACCTGCAGCCAGTGGTCTGGAGAGGCTCTTGCACCTGTATGGTCCCACCTCAGAGAGGCAAATGGATCTCTGCTTGTTGAGAGTGATTCTGAAACTATGCAAGCTCATGGATAAGGGGCTCTGACTGGCAGATGGAGTTTGTTGAGGGTAAAAGGAGTCACCTGGTGGGTGCTGGTCCTGGGGAAGGCATGCAGTCAGCCAGGATTGCTTGCCTTTTCAAGCCACCCTATGTGAAGTCACCTTTTGCTGAGGCATCCTGGCTCAGCGGATCTGGGCTCATAGTTGTGAAGACCTGCAAAGTTGCTGATCCATCTGTATGGAATTGTCTGCATCCGTGCAGGGTGTGACAACCCGGCATGTCACTGTGGTCAGAGCAGCCCGGGGCTCTCCTGCATGCAGCGCCGGTGCAGACTTCCAGCAAGCCCATCTGGGGACTGTCCACTGCTTTATAAAGGGTATGGGCAGGGAACTCTGGCCATGTTCGAGCAGGATGTGATTAACATGACACAGACTACTGTTTTCTTGTTCTAACAGCATTTTCAGTGGCATGGCAGTGAGTGGGTCACAGGACATAAGAAAAGACAGTGGATGAAGTTAAGAGAAATAGAAAAGCCGCAGGAAGCAATTTTGGAGGACGCCAGTGCTGCTGGCAGGAGAAACCCCAGCCAGCAAGCCACGGCTCCCCCGTGGGCCTGCCCACCTTGCCAGCCTCCCAAAGGTGGTGCCGCTCCCAGCCGCAGCCCCATCCTATCTTGAGAGCCCCTGTTTGGGGTCTCCACTTTCTCTGCTGGCCCAGAGGAGCCGTTGCCTTTGCAGGGATCTTCTTAGTTGTGCCTGAAGATTGTGGCACCCTTGACCTCTCTCCTCTGCCATCTCAATACCATATTCATTTCTGTCCCGCAGGCTTCTTTCACGAGGCTGTAATTACTGGCAGGGACACCTTACCTACCTCCTCCTCTCTCTCCAAATACTGTCCTTCGAGGCCTAATTGAAGGCCTCTCTCCTCCAGGAAGTCTTTTCTGAATGTTGGAGGCTCTGATAACCTTCCGGGTTTTTCCCTCCCTAACTCTGCACCTACAGCAGTTCGGCATTACACACCATCCTGCGTTCTTCATTTGTTTATTCAACCACGTTTTAGGGATTTTGAAGGTGAATTACTGTTGCTGTTTCCATCAGCAATAAACAGACATATAGACACATAGTTGGACACATTTGGACACGTCAAATAAGTCTTAAAGGCCGTGGAATGAGTCTAGTTATATATGTTTTTCCATTCTAGATGGCATGAAATTTAATGTCTATTCAAAAGTCGAAACTATAAAACTCCACTAAGTATAAGCTTTCCAGATAACTAGTTTATTTTCTCCCTGGAACTTAAAATAGGAGGAGGAAAGGGAAGTCTAATTCTGAGAAAGTAGGATCTCTTTCGGATGTTTTGTCCATTAAATAGTGAATATTTTATTACACTAAAAAATTCTATGCATGTAGACTTACAGTAAGTACTCCATATACATTTTAGGCTGATAAATTGGAATAACTGGTATTCTAAGGGGCATAATTTCCTAACATAAGGACACAGTTACCTGTGCTACAATGAAGAGATTAAAAATTGGTTATTGAATGCTTTATCTTAAAGGAGTGCTGTGTAGTAAAGAAGATTCATATTTGCTAAGCTCTTTAAAAACTGTAATGCATGGTGCAAATGTTACATATATAGACGTACATTCTCTTTGCAAAGAGCTTTCACAAAGGACAATGTACTATGAAGATGGCCACTTGGAAGTAAATAGGACTTTGAGGCGTTTCTGATGCCACTGTAGAGAATGTCAACAATGGCAGTATTAAATTTGCTGTTTTTTATTATTTATTTCAATGCCCAGAAGCAAACTGTTGAATAATTTCACCATCAGGTTACAATTGAATTAGGTTCTAAATTATAGGAGGTTAGTGGGACTCTGTGGACCTGAAATTGACCTCTGCTGTCGCCTGGAGACAGTTCTGGGCATCTTGCTGACAACTGCCGCTAAAGGAATTGTGGAGCCTGTTGGTCCTCATGAGAGGAAGTCAGCGCTTTCCTCATCCATCTTTTCTTCCTTCTTAAGAAAAATTCTTCTGTCCCAAATTTCTTCCCAGAGGAGGGTTCTCCTAGAACTATTCAAGGGTCTCTTCCAACAGCATTTGACAGGTGTGGAATTACTACTTAAAAAAGTCACGAGACTAACTAACTGAAGGGGAACGATGGTGCTTGACTACGAATGCCACATTTGTGCTCAGGTGCAGGTTATTCAAGCTGTGGCTGAATGTCTTTGGAACCATTACTGGAGCAAAGCCTGCAGACAACTCCTTGCTAAACCATAAAATGATGATTCTGGCAAGCAAAGATCAGATGCAATCTGAGTGCTCTGAGAAGCAGAAGAATCAGTGCTTTGAAAGGGATCACAAATACTGGATTTTTTGTTGTGGTGGTGGTGGTGGTTTTGTCTTTTTTAGAGGCAGAAGGCAGAGGTCTCACTCTGTCACCCAGGCTGGAGTGCTGTGGCACGATTATTGCTCACTGCAGCCTCTAACTCCTGGGCTCAAAGTGATCCTCCTGCCCCAGCCCCCTGAGTGCCATAGGTGTGCACCACCTCTCCCCTGGTTACTTTTCTGTAGAGACGGGGGTCTCACTATGTTGACTAGGCTGGTCTTGAACTCCTGGACTCAAGTGATCCTCTTGCCTCAGCCTCCCAGAGCATTGGGACTACAGGTATGAGCCACTATGCCTGGCCTGCAAATACTTTTAAATTGAGATATGAAATTTAGCCCTTTCTGGTTCAGTAAAATGTTTACTATTTTTATAAACAAAACATCAGAAGGAGATTCTACTTTCTCAGAATTAGACTTCCCTTCCATCCTATTTTCAGGTCCAGGGAGAAAGTAAACTGGTCATTTGGAAAGATTATTTTCAGGAGTTTTATAGTTTTGGACTTTTGAATTAGACAGTAAATTTCAAGCTGTCTGGAATGGAAAAACATATATAACTAGACTCATTCTGCGACCTTTAAGACTTATGTGATGTGTCCAAATGTTGGTCACTGTGCTAGAGAATCACTCCAGTCTGCATTTATTCCAATTTATAAAGGTTTCTTTTTATTTTCAGCTGAAATTTTTACTTTGGGAAATGTTACAAAAATAATCATGATCGTTCACCATCGTTCCTTTACTTCTGCAGTATTGCCGAAAGTTTTAAAAAAGTGACTGTACTTTTTCCATAAAAAGGAATTCTTTGGTATAAAGTTGGTTTACTAATCATACTCTAATGGCCGTGCACCCGTGCACTATCTTAATCTATTTGTCATAAACTGACCGCCAGCATAATTTTGAATGAATTAATGAATTAATCCAGCACATGTTGAGCCTCCGCTGTGTGCCAGGTACTCTTCTAGGTTTACTTATTCCATTTTTTTTTTTTTTTTTTTTTTTTTTTGCCTGCTTAAAGATTTCCAAAGCTTATCTGCCTCCACTGATGTCCATTTCAATCATTTTCAGGCGTAGATTAAGAACACCCTCTGGGCTCAGGGACTCTGACTACATCTTCTGATACCACAAGTACTTCAACTTGCTCTCATTTGAAGAATCCATTGCCTGGAGAGCTGGTCAAATTCCTGGAGGGTCATGGATTTTTGTCACACTGATTAGTGGTAGATTGAAAAAAAAATAATTTTCTTGTTTTCTAATATACATATATATCTTAAACAGGAAACAAATATATGTGTCTTCTCTGTATATTTAAAAACAATAACCTTCTGGATACATTTCCAGACTCTGAACTCATGCTTGTTTTGATGTTCATTGTGGTTTTTCACCAACACTGCCTGTCTGTATGATCTTTAATCACAAGTTAATTTTTAAAAGCTTCATTAGTGTGCTGTTTTTCTAAGCTGAAATTAGTTTTTTCGACTTGGACATATCAGCTTAGCTGCATTTGCCTTATTTTCTTATTATCATAACCTATGGCTGGTGGTGTCAATTTGATGAGAGGCTGTGCTAATAACACCCAAGTTGTGGGTTTCATTCTCGCCACAGGGAGGGCAGTTCGTCTCAATGGAACAGGCAGACCTATCTTGTCCAGTCTTGCAAACGTGTATGAGGGTCTGGGTGTAAGGGTGAATGTTTGCTGGACCTGGGTGTTAAAGCTTTGTAGTCCCCATCAGTATAAAGCTGTTTCTGCTCCTGCTGACCTGGCTCAGTGCAAGTCCTGTAACGATGGGTAGGCTGCTGGCTCTGCTCCTTCATGAAGGACGGCACACCCATGGGAATGGCTTACAGTCCTCTCGTTATCTTTCCGTTACATATATTGGTGCATCTTCAACTTCTAACTCATTAGAACAGCAGTGCTATAGTTTGAATATCTGATCGCGCTCAAATGTTGTGTTGAAATGGAATCCCCAGTGTTGGAGGCGAGGCCTGGTGGGAGGTGTGCTTTGGTCATGGGGTGGATGCCTCATGGCTGGGTGCCATCCCTGCCCTAGTGAGTGAGTACTGGTGAGGTCTGGTTGTTAAGTACGTGGCACCTTACCTCCCACCTCCCTCTTGTTCCTGCTTTCATCTTGTGATGTGCGTGCTCCTACTTCGCCCTCTATCGTGAGTAGAAGCTTCCCGAGGCCTCCTGGGAAGCAGATGGCAGCACAATGCTTCCTGTACAGCCTGCAGAACTGGGAGTCAATTAAATCTCTTAAAAATTACCCAGCCTCAGGTATTTCCTTATAGCAATGCAAGAATGGCCTAATACAAGCAGGAAGTCATGTTTTTACATGCCACAAAAATTCCCGTGGAATCTTATGTGGTTTACCATTATTTTTTTTAACGTACCATCATCATTTATAAGGTTTGAGGGAGGCATATCTCACACATGAGTGTGAAATCCTACTCATCACACTTATGAACTACAAAGGATCAGTTTACCATGATTTTTAATCCCATTGGCTCTTTTAATTAAAATAGACATCAATGATGCAAACACTTTCAAACATTTTTGGAGTTTATCCTTTACTACATCATGGGTCACGGTGGAGGCTGCTGCTGAGTACTGCCCCAACCCTCCTAGAGAACAGGTTCTCCCCAGGCACTGGGATGTGAGCCACCGATGGCTGGGTCTCACCCTGGGAATTGCCCTCTGCCTCAGACAGGAGCTGCTTCACTCAAGGTTACCCCTTCCTCCAGCAGCCTGCATGGGCTGGCTAATGTATAGGCACAGAGCCCCAGCCCCTTGGCCTCAAGTGGAGATTGCCTGGGACCTCCTCCAGGCAGTCTAACCTCTCCTGCCCAGCCGTTTCTTCCTCTTTCTTCCCACCTCCAGCGTTATTAAGGCCTAACTGACAAATAAAAACTATATACATTTACAGTCCGCAATGTGATGTTTCAACACATGTACGCCATACCCTGTGGGATGATTACATCAAGCTTATTAGCATATCCATCACCTCACATGCTTCTCATGTTTTTGTGGTGAGAACATTTAAGACCTACTCCCTTAGCAATTTTCAAATATACATTATTATTAACCAGCGTCACCAGACTGCAGTGGATCTCCAGAACTCATTCATCCTGTCTCATCAAAACTTTGTGCCTTTTAACCAACATCTCCCAATCCGCTTTCCTTCCCCAGGCTCCTGCTAAACACCGTTCTACTCTCTGCTTCTATGAATTTGACTTTAGATTCCACATATGAGTGAGATCACGCAGTTTTTGTCTTTATGTGACTGGTATATTTCACTTAGCATAATGTCCTCCAGGTTTATTCATGTTGTCGAAAATGAGAGGATTTCCTTCTTTTTATTTTGTTTTTTTGGTAGAGACAGGGTCTTGCTGTGTTGCCCAGGCTGGTCTGAAACTCCTGCACTCAAGTGATCCTCCTGCCTCAGCCTCTCAAAGTGCTAGGATTACAGGCATGAGCCACTGTGCACAGCCAATTTCCTTCTTTTTAAAGGCTGAATAGTATTCCATTGTGTATATGTACCACATTTTCTTTATCCATTCGTCGACTGATGGACACTTAGGTTGATTCCATGTCTTGGCTACTGTGAATAATGCTGCAATGAAAATGAAAGTGCAGTATCTCTTCAACATACTGATTTAATTTCCTTTGCATCTATATACCCAGAAGTGGGATTGCTGGATTACACAGTATCTCTATTTTTAACGTTTTGAGGAACCTCCATACTGTTTTCCATAATGGCTGTACTAATTTACACTCCCACTAACAGTGCGTAAGGGTCCTCTTTTTCCACATCCTTACAAACACTTGCTATATTAGTTCATTCTCACACTGCTATAAAGATACTACCTGAGACTGGGTAATGTATAAAGTACTCACAGTTCTGCATGGCTGGGGAGGCCTCAGGAAACTTACAGTCATGGCAGAAGTGGAAGAGATACACCTTACATGGTGGCAGGTGAGAGAGAGGGAGTGAGGAGCTAAGGAGGAAGAGCCCCTTATAAAGCCATCAGATCTCGTGAGAACTCACTCACTATCATGAGAACTGCATGAGGGTAACCACCCCTGTGATCCAATCACCTCCCACCAGGTCTCTCCCTAGACATGTGGGGATTATGGAGATTAAAATTCAAGATGAGATTTGGGTGGGGACACAGCCAAACCACATCACTTGCTATCTTTTGTCATTTTGATATTAGCCATTCTAATAGGTGTGAAGAGATATCTCATCATGGTTTTAATTTGCATCTCCTTGATGATTACTGATGCTGACCATTTTTTCATGTACCTGTTTGCCATCTGTATGTCTTCTTTTGAGAAATGTCTATTCAGATCCTTTGCCCATTTTTAAATTGGGTTATTTGTTTTCTTGCTATCAAATTGTTTGAGTTCCTTATATATTTTGTATATTAACTCATAGGATTTTTGGTTTGCAAATATTTTCTTCCATTCCGTAGGTTATCTCTTCACTCTATTGATTATTTCCTTTGCTGTACAGAAGCTTTTTAGTTTGATATAATCCCATTTATCTAGTTTTGCTTTTGTTGCCTGTGCCTTTTGGGTTATATCAAAAACAACAACAACAACAACAAAACTACCTAGGCCAATGTCACGTAGTTTTCCCCTATGTTTTCTTCTAGCAGTTTTACAGTTCCAACTCTTATATTTAAATCTTCAATCCATTCTGAGTTGACTTTTGTATGTTGTGAGATAAGGCCCAGTTTCATTTTTCTGCATGTGGATATCCAGTTTTCTCAATACCATTTATTGAAGAGACTGTCCCTTCCCTGTGTTATGTTCTTGGCAGCTTTGTTGCAGATCAGCTGAATATAAATGTGTGGATTTATTTTTGGCCTCTCTATTCTGTTCTATTTGGTCTACATGTCTGTTTTTATGCCAGCACCATGCTGTTTTGATTATTATATCTTTGTAGTGTATTTGGAAATCAGGCAGTGTGGTGACTCCAGCTTTGTTCTTTTTTTTTTTTTTTTTTTTTTTTTTGAGATGGAGTCTCACTCTGTTGCCCAGGCTACAGTGCAGTGGCATGATCTTGGCTCACCACAAGCTCCATATCCCAGGTTCAAGTTATTCTCCTGCCTTAGCCTCCTGAGTAGCTGGGATTACAGGTGCCTGTCACTGTGCCTGGCTAATTTTTGTATTTTTAGTAGAGATGGGGTTGTGCCATATTGGCCAGGCTGGTCTTGAACTCCTGACCTCAGGTGATCTTCCCACCTTGGCCTCCTAAAGTGCTAGGATTACAGGCATGAGCCACCACGCCTGGTCCCAGCTTTGTTCTTTTTGCTCAACGTTGCTTTGGCTATTCAGGGTGTTTGTGGTTCCATATACATGTTAGGATAGTTTTCCTATTTCTGTGAAAAATGCCACTGGAATTTTGATAAGGATAGCATTCTCAGTCTCTTATAGGCGTTATTTCTGTGCAAGAATCTCCAACTCAGAGCCCATTTCCAGGGAACCTGACTAACAGAATCACTCTGTTTCTACTTTATTTTTCATCCACTGTTTAGAAAAGCAATTCAATTAGCAAGGCACATCTTCATAATGCATGCCATTCTGCCTGTTTGTGGACCAGCTCCCTCTCCCTAAGCATGTTTCTTCTGGTCCTCAGCCAGTCGAAAGCCCACCACATGCTAAAGCCAGCAAAAAGCAGTCTACCTCAAGCCTTTTCTGACCACTTTCTCTTTCCTGTTCCCTCTTCCAAAATTAAATCCTCCTGTAACCCTTGATTTAGGCTTCTTCTTTTATAGCATTTACTTTTTCCTGTGCATTACAGTCGAGTCGTCTAACACTCTCATTAGAATGCAAGCTTCTACTACTTCCATCCTTCTTCTGCTTTCCCATTGTGTGTGGAGCTCAGTGGGCACTCAGAAAATGTTTTCTCAATGGGACACACACATTTTTATTCTCAGTATTTTAGTTTATCCTTAATATTCTTTTATTTTTTATTTTTCATTTTTGAGATGGAGTTTCACTCTTTTTGCCCAGGCTGGAGTGCAACGGCGCAATCTCGGCTTACTGCAACCTCTGCCTCCCACGTTCAAGGGATTCTCCTGCCTCAGCCTCCCAAGTAGCTGGGATTACAGGCACCTGCCACCATGCTCGGCTAATTTTTGTATTTTTAGTAGAGACAGGGTTTCACCACATTGGCCAAGCTGGTCTTGAACTCCTGACCTCAGGTGATTCACCCGCCTCGGCCCCCCAAAGTACTGGTATTACAGGCACGAGCCATCGCGCCCGGTCAATGTTCTTTTGTTTTACTTCTTTTTCCCTAGGTATGTTATACACAATCATACCTACTACATTTTTCAGTAGAAGTTAATTGGTAATTATTTAAGGCAAGATCAATCTGTACACTAAGTTAAATAATCACAATATTACAGTCTCATTTACTTTTCCTTTTTGAGCTACATAATCATTAACTTTCTCTACGGCATTCTGATATTACTACAACTCTACATGATTTTTCAAAAGTAACATTTGAAATGTTGTAGTCAATTCTCTTAATTACTTGGGATGGAGGCAGTTTGGACCCAGTAATTTATATATGTTAATACTTATAACTGTTTATTTATCTGATGTCAATATTGGGTTCTGCAGAATCTACATTATTTCTTAGTGGTTCAAATCTCTTAATTTTTCTTTCTTGGGCAGATTGGGCAAATGCTTCAGCTCTTTTAGGATGGCCATTAATTCCACTCCATCCTTGTTATTTGTGAACGTGTTTAAAAGTGTTTTCCGTGCAATGCTTTTGTTCACATATATATATTTTTAAGTGAGACAAGGTCTCACTCTCACCCAGGCTGCAGTACAGTGGTGCGATCTCAGCTCACCGCAACCTCCGCCTTCCAGGTTCAAGCGATTCTCCTGCCTCAGGCTCCCAAGTAGCTGGGACGACAGGCACCTGCCACCACACCTGGCTAATTTTTGTATTTTTAGTAGAGATGGGGTTTCACCATGTTGGCCAGGCTGGTTTCGAACGCCTGACCTCGGGGGATCCACCCGCCTCGGCCTCACACATCCTTCTTTGGATGCAAGCTCCCATCTCATGCACCCTCACAGCATCGCCAGGAACACGGTTGGTTGCGATGGACCATGGGGGACCTTCATTTCCACAAGCTGTCCCTGAGAATTCCAACCTGCTTCTTGTAAATATAGTTACATGCTCAAATATCTTTTTTATAGTGGGTTAATTTTCTTGACTTTTCAATTACCACTGTAATCTATAATAAAAGTTTACAAAATACTTTACAGTTTTTTGTCATTTGGTCAGCGCACCTGAACAACTTGATTTATTTAGGAAAAATGTTCCATCAGCTGCTGCTGAATTCAGTGTCTCCTGCACTGCACCTGAATATCGCCAGGTGATCAGGGTGCAGCCTGTCTGTATTCTCATACCTTCTAGCAGATTTTATAGATCCCAGAGCTGCGGATTAGAAAATATTCTTCTAGCCCTTAACAGTCTGGCTGTGCAAGGTCCCACGACCCAGTATCCTCAGCTCTTCTCTCCAATACACACCTGTGCCTGGCAGGGAAGTCCTTTAATAGGCAAAGGCCTTGCTGTCAACAGTGAGCGAATGACATTGAGCTTTGGGTCCTCAGCAAGCCCACTGAACTGCAGTGCTTTGGTCAGTTCAGTACAGTTCAGCACACTTGCAGGGACACAACACATCTTTGGCATTCTTTGGAATATTATTCATTTACCTATGTTTTCTTGCTTGTTTATTTAAAGTTGTGGTTATTTTCAAATAGTTCCCTTGGCTGCAAATACCCTCCTTTCTGATAATCAGGCGGAAGCCTAGGATTCCAGCTTCAACGTAAGATGTGCTTTGCAACCATGAAAGTACCTCCCTGAGAGTCACTGGTTCAGCTGCACACGGTGAAATTAATCAAAGAGTAATGTCTATTTCACAGAGTCACAGTGAGGTGTAGGCAAGGCACAAAGGCACGTGTACAAAGTTTGCAGGGAGCTTGGCTCCTTCTTCTCACTGCCTTTGCCCGCACGGAAGAGAAGTGGCATCAACCTTCCCGCAACACCCAGATTCAGACTCTAAGGACCCAGTGGCTTCCTGAAGATTCCTATCTCTGGACTCTGTTTTATTTGGGAATACAGGAACAAATAACTAGGAAAACTGCGATGCTGAGCCAGATGTGGGGAAATAGAGTATTTATTTTATCATGTGCCATTTACTTCCAAGATAATGAAATGCTTTCTAGATGACTGAGACAGACCACTACAGTATTTTCTTATGTATTTTGTCTTCAAAATGCTTGATTTCCATTAGGATTTTTAAAATAGTAATCTGCAGACACTAAAGCTTGTTTTACTCCTGAACTATATGATTTATTCTCACTGTGTCTTGCCTCTCATGTGAAATTGCTGGAACAAGACAGCAAAGTGATGCAGAGCCCAAGTTGCATAACATCAGTAAGCTTAGGTCTTCCTTTCCCAAATGACAGGGACAATAATGAATCTTACCTCATAGGGATGTTGTGAGGATTTAACAAAGAAATCCAGGTAAGCTCTTAGGATGGTTCCTGGTACTTGGTAAATATGCAATACAGTTTAGCCATTATTAATGATGATTAGACATTCCATATACTTTTGGTAACATTTACGTGCAATCATGAGTATTTAACTTCTCCACATACTCTCTTAAAAAAACATAATTAAAGGAAAGATATGCAAATATTTATCTCCAAATCACACACATCTGGAAGTTTCAAAAAGTGGTCTTTGACTTTAAGTACTGGACTGCAATTTTCTTACCTAATTTAATTTATCATATATTATGGAAACTCTATGGCATTCTGTGAGTTTTCCCAAACGCTGTCTTTTCTGTGCCATCTTCTCCGCCTTAGAGCCTGGCTCTCACTCCTGCCTCGTACCCTTGTTCTCAGGTCTACTATGGAGAGAGAGAGGGCGTGTGCAAATCTACATCTCAGCCCCACTTGCCCCCGCTTAGCAGTCAGTCCTTCTGTCCCTTGTCTCAGAATGCCCTGCCAAGAGGCCTGAGTACTGGGAGCACACCCCTGGATAAATTAGACAATGTATGGAAAAACTCACAGACGAGGCTTTGTGAGCATGAGCATAATTACTAAAAAGATGGAGCACACCCTTTCCTTCCTGCACTCCCCCACCCCCGCCCTCTGTCCTGACTCTATCTGTCGCAGAAGACACAGAAGTCACTCTGCATGTATTGGGAGCTCCTTTTATGTGCAGCTCTGTTCTGGATTCTGGGCAGGTGGTGGTGAAAAGACGGCATCCTTGCTTGGACTGGGGCTCACATGCTAGGGAGAAAGAGAGCTAATGCATTGATATTAAATAGTAGATGATGACTTGGTTTCAAATAGCAGTGTGTTTTGTGAAGCAAAATAAAGCAAGGTAAGATATGGGAGGAGGGTGTGCAGCCTTTCCATAGGGCAGCCAGGGGAGGCCTCTTTGGGGAAGCATGTTTGGACAGAGACCTCAACAATGGTGAGCACCCCATGGAGACCGGGGCCAGGATGCTCCGGGCTGAGCGAGCAGAAACTGTAAAGGCTGCAAATAGGAAATGTCCTTGGTGTTTCTGAGGCTTAGGGAAATGCTGGTAGGAGGGAGGGAGGCAGCAGGAGGAGGCAGGTGGGAAAGGCAGGCTGAGCTGTAGGAGGAGGCAGGTGGGAAATTCAGGCTGAGCTGCAGGAGGAGGCAGGTGGGAAAGGCAGGCTGAGCTGCAGGAGGAGGCAGGTGGGAAAGGCAGGCTGACTGCAGGCCGCAGTGGGGAGGAGGATTTTACTCTCAGCTCAATGAGAAACCATTGGGAGGTATTTAAGCAAGAGAATGGCATGATGGGATTAATGTATTTGAAAAGATAACTCTTTTGCATAGAAAGCAGATTTTCAGGCTTTAAGAATAGATGCAAGGAGAAGAACTAGAAGACAAATGCAGAAGTTCAACCCAGAGACAGTGAAGGCTTGGGAAGACACATTCTGGATACTGTGAGACATGCTCAGCTTTAAGGTGGGTTGTGAGGGCAGAGCCCATGAGCTTTGCTGCTGGATGGGCTGTGTCTTATAAGGATTAGAGAAGAATAAAGATTGACTTTTAGGGCTTTGGTCTATATAACTGGTGGCATTGGCTGAGAGGGAAATGGCCAAGAAAGAGTGGACTTTGGAGGAAAATGAAGAGCTGTGTCAGAGGTTAATTCTAAATCACCTATTTAGACATTCAAATAGGAATAGTGAGGCGGCGGTTGGACATACAAATTAGAGGGGTGGTTAGAGCTGGGCATATCAACCTGTGACTCTGTCATCTGTGTATAAAATGGCTTAAAACCATGGACTAGAATAGGGTTGCTGGACAGAACAGGCACTGTGGACCTTCTATGCGGAGTAAGCGCAGTGGGGGCTGTCCTGTGCGTTGGAGGATATTTGGCCGAATCCAAGGCTTCCAGACACGAATGCCTGCGGCATCTCCCCACCTTGTGACAAAAGTGTCTTCAGACATTGTCAAGTGACCCCTGCAGGGCAAAGCTGTCCCCTGTTGAGATCCACTGGGCTATATACATGTTGAGAGAGTGCAGCTGGAGAAGAGGGTAGCCCGAGCCCTGCCCCTGCGGCAGAGGGAGGAGGAGCCAGCCCAGGAGATGAGGGAGCGACCTGTGAGCTGGGAGGAGCTGGAGGAGCAGGTGGACAAGGCTGTTATCAGAGCAGATGGTTGGGGTGAGTGTTGCTGGGAGTTTGAGTAAGAGGAGGACAAAGAACAGGACCTTGGGTTTGGCAACACCAAGGCTGCCAGGGGCCCTGACATGAGGCATTTCAATGGAGAGAAGGAGACAGAAGATAACTGGAGTGGGTTGCAGAGGGGACGGGGTCAGTGTTGAGGACGTGGCCATGGAAAGCACTCATAGCCCTTGGAAGGAGTTCTGTTGAAGAGAGAAGCAGAGAAGAGGCAATACCCATAAGGGGATGTGGGGGCAAAAAGGAATTTATTTCTAGCATGAAAATTGCAGTAGAAAGTGGAATAATTATAGAAATTAACTTCTTGGGTAGATAACAGAGGATGGAATTCAGTACAGCCAGAATTCAGCATCTATCTGTGTTAGATAACTGCACAGAGATTGCTGTATCCATCATACGAGGAGGGAAAGTGAGATATGAGGACAGAGAGAGGTAAGTTGATAAAAGTTTTCAGTGGGAAGATGTGCTAGTCTTCATGTGATAGTTTCTGTTTTCTTTTGGAGAAGAGGAAGCTAATTTATTCGCAAAGAATGAAGAATACAACACCCCTAAGAGTGCAAATATGAATTTCCTAGGGCAGGGGCCCCAGCCTTTTTGGCATCAGGGACCAGTCTCACCCAACACAATTTTTCCATGGACCAGTGTCGGGGAGGGTTTCACGGTTCAAGTGCATTACATTGATTGTGCACTTTATTTCTATAATCATTACATTGTAATATATAATGAAATAATTATACACCTCACCATAATGTAAAATCAGTGGGGGCCCTAAGCTTGTCTTCCTGCAACTAGATGGTCCCATCTGTGATGGGGTGATGGGAGACAGTGGCAGATCATCAGGCATTAGATTCTCACAAGGTGCACACAGCCTGGATCCCTGAGATGCACAGTTCACAACACAGTTCACACTCCTGTGAGAATCCAATGCTGCTGCTGATCTGACAGGAGGCGGAGCTCAGGCAGTAAAGCGAGCAATGAGAGCAACCCTAAATAGAGATGAAATGAAGCCTTGCTCACCTGCCCACTGCTCACCTCCTGCTGTGCAGCTGCTTCCTAACAGAGCACAGACCAGTGCCAGTCCATGGCCCGGGGGCTGGGGACCCCTACCCCGGGAACCCCTACCCTCGGGGTATGTAGAAAGATTGTTGCCTATTTGAGAATCATGATCAAAGGTTTCAAGTGAGCGGATGCCCCTCCTCCCCTCCTGAGCAGACTGCGTGGACGTGGGCTTTGTATCTGTGACTGGGCCTCCCCTGGAACCCTGGCCTTCCTGTCCAGGGACTGGCGTATGCCTAGACCTGCCTATCACCTGCTCTGTTGGGATTGGGCTCCCGTTGGGGGTGAGTTTCCTGAGTCTGAGCTTTCCTTTGGTGCTTGCCAGGAGCTTGTTTTAGCCTTTGGGCATCATACCTACAACAATCGGGCTGCACCCCTAGCTTCTGCAGGGAGCGGTACATTCCCAGGCCTCATTTAGTCAGGCTAAGCCTCTATCGCCAAGCCTGGTTCTGCCCATCCCAGAGTCTTTCACACTTGTGCCCAGACCCCAGTCCTATTAGGACTCAACGGAAGTTTTGAATGAAAATTGGGAAGATTCACTTGCAAAGGCGTGCTGGTGGAATGCTTGTGGGTATTTCAAAGTTCCTCATGGAGAATGTAATTCTGTAGATACAGCAAGTATAAACGATCATTGCTTTTATATGGATTATTGGAGGATTTAATTAGACAATGCAAGTTGAAAGCAAGCACATTGAATATTGTAAAGTTGCAGTGCTAGTTAAAGACAGCAGAACCTTAAATAATAGGTGGTTTTGTTCTTGGAAGAGGGTTTCCTAAATATAAATAATTAAAATAAATTGGACAGCAAATTGGGGGAAAATATAGCAATGTTGCCAAATACGACAGCATCTCACACTATGATAAAGTTGTATCTCTGCGTTGTGTGTACATGTGCATATGTATGCACACGCATGTGTGTACGGGGGCTGGGTGCGCTGAAGGGTAGATGGATGGTGTTTATTGAGGGCTGGGTGAAGTAGTCAGACTCAACTTGATTTTTCTAAGCCATTAAGCTCTCATTTGCATTTTAGATATTCTATTTATCAGCTATCCTTGCTTTACATTAATTATAGTTTTCAAGCATTTGTAAATATTTCCTTAAAAATCCTGCCTTCAGTTTGTGTTCCTCTTCGTTTTTCTTCCCCTTTTCTCTTGAGAGCAGCCTGTGAATCGATGGTTTCATTACTGTCTTCTGCCCATCCTCCACCAGGTTTTTGTCTAAGTTCCTCCACCTTGGTTTCCTTGGTGATGTGCAAGCCCCTCGGTTTCCAGCCCTTGCCCTTGGTGCTGGCTCCACTGGGGACAGACACTGCTTTATGGCCCTCCTTTCACATCTCCACATCACCCTGGTGTCCCAGATCCCTCAAAGTGCATGACAAGGCAGCTGTCCCCAGATGCTCTTTACAACGGCCAGCTCTCTATTAGACAACACAGGAAAAACTTTCTTTCTCACGTCCTCTGGACACAGAAAAGAGGGAAAAGTCTACATTTCATGTGTTCAATTGAAAAATGATCTCTAAAATTACTTAAGACTCATGGATCCTTCTCTTCCCAGCCGGGCTTCTGATGAGCACATCCTACACTTACTGCTGCGGTTCCTGACCTTCAGTGCACTTTACAGCCACCCAAAAGCAGGCTTTGTCTCAAACACTTCCTGGAAATCGCTTTTGCTGAGGCCACTGTTGATCTCCTAAACAATAAATCCAATGGGTATGCTTCAGTATTTGTCTATTTGTCCTTTCTGAAGCATTGGGAGATTTTGATCTTTTATTCTTGACTTTTCTGTCTCTCCTGTCATTCTCAAGCCTTTTCCTCTTCCTACCCAGTTAAATGTTGGGGTTTCCAGGGTTCCACCAGGGGCCATTACTCGTCATTGCTTTATGTTGTCCTTGGGTGATCTCATTAACCACCACAGTCATGCATGTGGCTACCTTTCCAGCCCAGATTGCTCATAAATAGCTCTAAGATATATATTCTATTTGTTTATTGGCTGTTTCTACCTCGATGTCCCATGAGCATCTTAAATGCAACAGAACTAGAAATAAAATTATCATATTTCCCTAAAACATCCTCTTTCTAAATTTGGCATTAGATTAATGATATCAGGATCAACCTAGTCAAGGAGAATGGAATCTACTAAATTGACTCCAGAAGAGACAGAAAACAGAACAATATAACAATGCATGCTATTAAAGCTATTGCTAAATTAACATAAAAATATGCCATGCCAAGATGGCGTTAGAAGCAAATTAATTCCACTTTCCATGGAATGATATTTCTCTATTTAAGCTTATTTAAACTATTATAGAAAGAATCCTCCAAAATTCTTTTAAATAATGACAGCATACCACTGACACTGAAAGATGATAGAATAGTTCTAAAATAGATGATTATCTTGAATATTACAAAAATCTTTACATAATTACCAAAGAAATTTAGCAGTACATTGCACAAAAAAAAAATGCCGTGACTGAGTGGCATTTATTTCCTGAATACATGGGTAGATAAAAAAAAATTACAAATGGGTCAAATTAATATATACTAGTAATATATTAGAGGAGGTAAATTATATAACTTACATAGAAGGTAGGAGAAGAGGCATGTTAACAAATGTCAACCTTCATTTCTGATGTTAAAAATCAGTGGTAAGGCAAGAATTGACAGATTTCTTTTTTAAGCCAGCATGAAGCTTAATGATAAAATGCTAAAACATACCTATTAAAGTGTGGAATAAGACGAGGATCCTAACCATTGCTACAACTACTTAAAACTGCCATTGAAATGGCAGCCAACAGTGTTAAATGAGAAATAACTAGAAAGTTTGAATACTGGAAAGAAGAATTACAACAACCTGAAAACATAAAGAGAATTACCCAAAAGATTACAAAATATACCTACATAGCTGCACTATATATAAATAATTATCAGTGAGAAAATATAGTAAAAGACATTGAAATAAGTACACCATTTACAACAGCAAACAAATAAAACAAAATAAAAATTAAAAAAAGATTAAATATATATGAATGGATTTAAAAGATGATGTATAAATTTATATAAAGAAAACTTTAAAACTCTACTGAGAGACTTAAAAGAAGGCTTAATGATGTCATACTTTAAAAGTATAACAACTGTACCCAAAGTGTTCTGTAAATTCAATGTGACCTTTTCTGGAAAACCAGAAAGTCTAGATTTCTTATGAGAAGGAAAAATAAACGTGTGAGAATATCTTGGAAAACTGTGGAAAGAATGGGTAGAAACTCCCCAGTAAGATAATAAAACTCTGCTGTCCAATATGGTAGCCACTAGCCACATGTGGCTATTTGAAATTTAAGTTTAAATTAATTAGAAATTTATAAAATAAAAAATTCACGTCCTTAGTCACACTAGCCACATCTCCAGGCTCAATGTGATGGTGGCTACTATACTGGACAGAGTAAACAGTGAATATTTTCATCATTGTAGACGGTTCTATTGGACAATACTCTACCGAAGCATGTTATTAATGAAAAGAGTTTGGTTGGCCCTGGAGAAGAAATAGTTAAGAACAGAATCGAGTCCAAAAGTAGATCAAAATAAAGTAGAATTTAGATTGTGATATAGGTTGTGTTTCAAAGGTGGGAAAAAGAGAGGCTACTTTTTATATGGTGTTGGGGCAATTGACTAATCATTTTAAAAAATGTACAGCTAGATCTTTATCTCATTATTTAAACCAATGTAAATTTCAGTTAGAGCAAATAATTAAAATGTAAAAACAGAATTAAGCAAAATCCCTTACTGTCCTTGAGGAAAAGATCAATGGATTTATTTGTAAACTTTAAGTGGGGGTATTCGTAATACCTATAACTGACAAAGGGTTAATTTCCTTAATTTACAAATAACTAATACCAATCAATGAGAAAAAAATAACCAAAACAATAGAAAAATGGGTAAAGGATATACATAGAGGCTTCATAAAAAAAGTATAAATGGTCAATGATCACATGAAAAGATACTAAACTTCATTTATCACCAAAAAGAACCTAAATAGTTCAGTGTATATTCCCTACAAACAAGGACATTCTCCTACATAATCGTAACACAAGCACTGAAATGCAACAAACACCGGTATATTACTACCACTTTATCCCCAACTCATTCACATATTGCCAGTTGTCCCAATAACATCCTTAATAGCAAAAAGATCAATCCAGAATCACATGTTGCATTATTTGTGATGTCTCTTTATTCTCCTATCTAAAACAGTTCTTCAGTTTTGTTTTGTTTTTTTTTTCCTTGACTTTCATGCCCTGGACATTTTAAAAGGTTACAGGGCAGTTTTGTTTTTTAAAAATTGAACATCCCTCAATTGGGGTTTGTCTGACACTTCCTAATGATTAGAGTCAGGTTTTGCATTTCTGGCAGATATATCCCACTGTGCTCCATCAGCTGCCACGTGCTTTTAATTTGTCCATTTCATAGCCATGTTAACCTTGATCCTTCAATTAAGATTGTCAGTTTCTGGTTGGGCATGGTGGCTCATGCCTGTAATCCCAGCACTTTGGGAGGCCAAGGCGGGTGGATCACGAGGTCAGGAGATCAAGACCATCCTGGCTAACAAGGTGAAACCCCATGTCTAATAAAAATACAAAAAATTAGCTGGGCGTGGTGGTGGGTGCCTGTAGTTCCAGCTACTCGGGAGGCTGAGGCAGGAGAATGGCATGAACCTGGGAGGCATAGCTTGCAGTGAGCCGAGATCGTGCCACTGCAATCCAGCCTGGGCGATGAGCGAGACTCCGTCTCAAAAAAAAAAAAAAGATTATCAGTTTCCAAAGTAAAGTTACTCTTCTTCCCTTTATAATTAATGTGCATTTTGTTGGGAGATAATATGAAATAATGGTAAATATACAATTTTTCATCAAACTTTTATTCATTTATTCATTTATATTAATATGGAGTCATTAATTCCTAATGTAGTCTATGGGTTATAGCCCATTTTACTATCATTTATTTTGAAGGTCAAAGGGTCCCTGACTTGGCAATTGGGCAACCCTTTTGAGCCAGCATCTGTGTCCCCTGCACATGTCTCCTTTGCTCTTTAAGCATTTTCTTTCTTTTTGACATGGCTCTGTTCCAAGATCATTCTTGGACTTTTCCTGCCTTAGTTCTGGAATTGGCCATTTCTCAAGGAGCTTTGGTTCCTTTTTAGGGAGAATGGTACTTAGAAACCAAAATCCAGGTACCAGATGTGCTCACTGCTTTTGGGGTGCCACTGCTCCCGGGCCCTCACAGTGAACATAGCTATACACACATACACATAGTTACAACCATGCTCATTTCCACAGCTACCTTTATCTATAATGAAAATCATGAGTTTATGCCAGTATCTCAACTCTAATCCAATACCCCAGAGTATTTTCAAATTCTCTATCTTTTCATATTTGTAACTCTCTTGGCTCCCATTATCCTTTTTATATTTATTCATTTGATCTACCCCTGTATGTAACCAATATCCCACTGCTCTGTACTCCTTCTTCATCCCAATGCAGATGCCTTTCTGGTCACTCTGGTATTCTGATCCCACTTGCAGGGCCATTGGCAGTGCTTCCCAACCACACAGATGTCTTCCTCACTCTTCTTAGGCCCTGACACCCCTCCCTGGACCACAGTGGCTCCCTCTGCCACTGCAGGTAGACGCTGACTGCACGTGCTCAGCTCCATTTGGTGGCTTTGGGCTGAATTATTGAGGAAGAGGAAGAGAATGAGCACTGCATTATGCTACCCTCCCCTCATACCCTCATGACCTGTTTGCTTATTTTCCTAGTTACAAACCAGACTTGGTAGGAGTGCAAAACCAAGAGGCTCAACCATTTCGACTGCTTACATTGGTAACTCTTATAGGGGGAGGAACGAGGAAGTCATCTTTTACTACGGGAAGATATACCATATTAAGTAGAATGTTTTCATGAGTCATTTTATTATGCGCAATTGATTTAAATACCGAGAATTACAACAAATGTGTTCTTGTCCAAAGGCTTCTGTAAAAACTCCATTACATAGATATATGCCTAGATTCTAAGTTATGAAAAATAATCAAATACGGTAAAGGTGCAAGTCCACCTGTGTATATAAGCTTGATATTTCCATGCTATTGGTAGATAAGATAAATTTAAAAAATTTGTTCATCATGGGGAATTTTAAGACAATTATTTAAATTGACCTCAGCTATCTGTCCCTTTACTCTATAAAACAGTGACTTTACCATATGGTAAATATTATGGAAACCAAGTGTTAATGTTTTCATTAAACCAATGATGGAATAGTACACAGGATTATAAAATGTTTCTGTGAAGTATGAGACAGTTGCATAATTTACACATAAGCATTGAAGAATCACTACATAGCCTGGAGGAGAATTGCTAACTCTGTCAAAAAAAGGTCAGCTTTAAGTGTTGCTGTCATAATGGTAGAGTTAAGAGCCAAAGGGAATTTAAAAAAAAGGTGGTGGGAGAGAAAGATTCTGTGATAGAATCTATCATGTAAGCCTAGGAGAAAAAATTTAGTATTGTCAAATAAGGCTCCAGTGAAGTAATGAAGAATTTTATTAAGTTCTTATTATTTGAACGAAGACATTTTTCCATTTTAAGACACTTCAGATCTGTTTAATGTGTGTTTAAATAGGGCATAAAACCAACCAGACAGTTCACCAGGTCAACTTTTGGCTGCCTTGGGATGAACCACATTTTTCCCCCCAATACAGCTATTCACTGATTTAAAGAGCTTGCTGTTTCTTACTTAACATGTCCTATATCTTCCATTGAACTGAAGAGAGTTTTCCTTTTCAAATATTCAAGGTTATGCCCTTCAGTACAAACTGGGTGCAACAAAGAACAGAAATTATTTTGTTCTCAGCAAAAGTAAGGGGAAGAGATACATGTATTTAACAGAGAAATTTAGTGGCTGCTTCAGTATGCGTTAACCAATTTAATCCCTTCAACATGCCTCTGCAGTAGATATCATCCATGTGCTTTGGAAGAGGAAGTTAATGCTCAGAGGTTATGGTCCTCAGCCCATAGAAATGGGTGCATCCGCTTGGAAGCTCCACCTTCTAAGGCCATGGTGAGTGCTCTGTCCACTCTGGTGGTCTCTGCTTTATTTTCAGTGGGGATATTTTTTAATGAAGGCCCTCCAGTGAATTTTCTTTGTCCTCATGTTCAACACTTACTGTGTTGAATTGAATACTTGGCACTTTTTCACATTTTAGAAAGATATTCTGCATTATAGAATGGATTACACATTGGTATTACAATATCTAAACTTTGATAGTTCTATAAATGCTTTAGAAGGAATATATTTGGGTCACAGGTAAAGTCCATTAAAGAGCAGAAAGTTAGTACATTATTCTGTCCTTCTGTTCATCGTCTGGATGTAATTGTCTGTGTACTCACCTGACTGCTCTGTAATCTTTAATAAGATTTTTAAAAGTATGTGGAAGCGTAGGCCGTGACTCTCATGAGCATGACGGGTGACAATGGTCCTCATGGAGACATTTGCCAAAGCTCAATTAACAAGACATTTGGTAGAGAACTGAGGTCCCCCAACAGGCGTGGTTTGATGTTCATGGAGACTTTTAGGGGCTCGGCTCAAGAACTTCACACATATACTCTTACTGTGCAATGGAGGGTTGATTTCAATTGACTGTCTTTGCCTTGTTCACTGCTGAGTTGCAATGGCTTTTCTTTCTTTAAAAGAAAGAATGTGAAGGTAAAATAAAGAATATGTTTGTGTACTTTAGACATATGGAAGTTTTCAGTTGTTAGTTTACAGTACGATATTTACAATATGATATTTCCTTTGTGTCACATGCTTTACATCAAATTATGGCTTGGATATGTTGTCTTGTTCAGGTATTAACTAGGTTGATGTATGCTTATTTCATGCATTATGAAAAAGTCAATACAAAGGAAAATTCAAAACTCAGTAATGTCATAATATTCCTTTAGAATAAACATTATGTAGCAGTTGTCTCATTTTGTGTTACCCTCATCTGTGAAATTAGGCAATCCCTGTAGCATAACCTGTCAATATTAACAATTATTTGTTGTGGGTATCATTCAATCTCTACTTTATGCCCAACCACTCAATGTAGTTTTCTTTTAATTATAGATTTAGAAATTGATTAATGAAATATAAAATGCCAGATCAACTTACAACTACTTTCAACCTTGCCCATCCAAATCCATTTCTCGTCCTTTTGCAAAGCTCCACTTTCATGCTGAGGCGGACTGCCACATTAATACTGCTTAGATCTACTCCAGCTAGTCTGCACTAAGGCTACTGACTATTCTTTATTAAGGCTACTGAGAAATTTGGATGGTAAGATGCTCTATTTCAGGGCCACTCATCACGTTTCCTGATAAATACTAACAACAGTTCACTGTGTACTTCCTTTACTAAATGCACTCAACTTCTAGTCAACTGGGAAAGGTGTCAGAAAAATGTGCCTAATATTGCTCACGACCTTATTTAGTAAATGAATGTGAGTGCCAGCCTATAGATTACTTTGTCTTGTGCTTCTATTTGTAGCTGCTCACAGATCCAGCTTGCCTATCCACTCCTGTGAGATCTCCTTTTAAAGAAAATTTAACACAGAGGGGGAAAATGTAATAAATTTGGAGAAAAACATCATTTCACATTAGCTAATGTGCTTTTCTGTTTAATAATCTAACATTCGGCATTAGACAAATATTTTTGTAGACCGGTACTTTGTTTTCTTTTTCTCTTGTTAGCATTGTAACATCAATTCTAAGAGATGCTAATCCACATAGTTTGAGGTGGATATTTACATTAATGAAATGTATGTCTAAAGTGTTCCTTTCTCCAAGTTAGTTCACATTTTATTCCATGCAAAGAAGATATATCTTGGGGGATTATAAGTAATATTTGAGCATTCTTTTTAGGAGCCACTGCACTAAAATCCTAGGAAGTGATACCAAAAAAGATGGAAATCCAAACGTGTGCTTAGCCAAATTAGCTTCAAATCCAATAGCACACTAAAAATAGCTAAATAAAATGCACATTTATTTGTTATTTTATTTCTGGACTTTTAATCACAGAATTGATTTATTAATATAGAGAAGATGCTAATTTTAACATGATAACCTGACAATCTTTTTTTTTTAAAAAAAGTAAAATGTAGCTTAGATTCTGATCTCTGCAATTATCCTTTTTCTAATTTGTATACTATACTAGCACTACCACCGTCATCTTCATTGAAGGTACTATGTTATGTCTTAGGACAAGAAAAGAAGAGAAAAAAGAAAAGAAAAGAAAATCTCCAATATAGTCTATGAATAAAAGTGGTTTCAGTTCTTTACAGAGTATTTGCTTTATGTAGTAAATAAAGCAAAAATAATCTTTGGACTCGATTGTGCAATATAAGCTAGTTTACTAACAGGATAACACCAAGTTTAACTACAATAGAATTCAAATTGGCTATTAAGTTATGCTCATGTAGACAGTGGCAATATGTTAGACAACTGTGAAGAGAGAAGGAAGCATTGCCCGACCGTCTGTGGCCCCAAACAGGCCACTTCCATATGCTCCCCAACGCCTGGCAGCTTTGCTGCCCAAGTCCCCACTCCTTCTCAGCGACATCCATATGGTATCCACAGATTGAGAGCTTGCCTTTCTTTCTAAGACAGGCACAATCTCACTTGGTATTCTATTGCGCTGAATATTTGTGAACAGTGATTCATATTTTTATTGCAAAAATAAGATTATGGATTCTAATTCTTCCACTTTCATTATAAGAGACACTTATGGATCCTGACAGTCTTATATTTTAATTTTGTAGAAAGAAATGAGATGCTTGCATTTTAATCTAATATTAAAATGGAGCAGGCTACCATCCATGCCTCCATTCTATCTGGGCACACGCTGAGTGCTGGGCGTTAAGTGTGAAGAGCAGCTCCCTCAAGCATCTCATCATGTAGTGATGAGCCAGGAAACAGGGATGGGAAACACAACTGGGTGTGAGTGTCCTTGTTTCCATGTGCTATTCTCACATCTAAACCGTAGGGAGTTGAATATCATGGAAATGTCTGATGTGTAATGAGCACAAATGTGAGCCAAGGAAATAAAAATCGATTTCAGTATTTCTTGAGGATGTGTTTATTTTTATGTTGCAAATTTTAGGCCTTATACCTTCATTTCTTTGCTCATTGATCATTTGTTATTTTCAGACTTTTGAAACCCTGGGTATCACCTGTTCCATTTGGAGAAACTTAATAGGCTGTGGTCATTATTTTCATTTCAGCAGACAGACTACCCATACTCTAAATTATAAATAAAACAATGAGGGAACAGATCACTTTCTAAAAGGAAAGCTTGCTTTCTTAGTAAGAGATAAATACCACTGGGACCAGAGATTAAAAACAAATGTGTGTTCTGCGACTGAAATCATTTCATTTAAAGAAATCTCTCACTTTCTACAAAGCGTATTTAAAAAACAGAATGTCAAAAGTGATATGTTGACAAATATTGACTATTTATTAAGAAAAGAAATAAAATCCTAGCGAAATGTCCCACACGAACCAAACTGACCTGATAGCAAAGTGAACATACTTATAAACAGCGGTAAAAGAAAAAAAATGAAGTATGATATTTTCAGAATTGAGGAAAAGGAAAGCAAATATTAGCACCTTCTCTTAATCAACCTTCCTGAGTTGAGTGTTAATTTTGCATTTCTTTCTCTCTCAGAGAATTCAACCAGATCTGGATTTGAGATTACTTGTGACAAAGCTTCTCTGGGGAAACTTAAGAGACTGTTCTCCCCATTCCCTGTGAGGGGACAGCTTCTCCAAGAGTCTGAGAAATATTTCTTTTTTGGGGGTTTACTTTCCTTTTCTTCTATTTTTTAACTTTTATTTTGGGCTCAGGGGTACATGTGTCTCAGATGTTTGGTGTACAGATTATTTTTTCACCCAGGTACTAAGCATAGTACCTGATAAGTAGATTTTTGATCCTCTCCCTTCTCCCAGCCTCCAGCCTCAAGTAATCCCTGAAGCCTGTTGTTCTCCTCTTTGTGTCTATGTGTTCTTGTTTATTCCCACTTATAAGTGAGAACATGTGGGATTTGTTTTTCTGTTCCTGTGTTAGCTTGCTTAGGATAAAAGCTCTATCCATGTTGCTGCAAAAGCCATGATCCCATTCTTTTTCATGGCTGCATAGTATTCCATGGTATGTATGTACTACATTTTTTATCCAGTCTACCACTGATGGGCATTTAGGTTGATTTCATGTCTTTGCTATTGTGAAGAGTGTTGTCATGAATATACACGTGCACGTGTCTTTATGGTAAAATGATTTATATTACTTCAGGTATATACCCAATAAGGAGATTGCTGGGTCAAATGGTAATTCTGTTTTAAGTTCTTTGAGGAATCACCACACTGCTTTCCACAATGGCTGAACTAATTTACACTCCCCCACCAGCAGTGTATAGCATTCTCTTTTCTCTGCAACCTTGTCAGCATCTGTTATTTTTTTACTTTTTAGCAATAGCCATTCTGAGTGGTGTGAGATGGTATCTCATTGTGGATTTGATTTGCATTTCTGTAATGATCAGTGATGTGAAGCATTTTTTCACATGCTTGTTGGTCATTTGTGTCTTATTTTGAAAAATGTCTGTTCATGTCATTTGCCCACTTTTGAATGGGGTTGTTTGGTTTTTGCCCGTAAATTCCTTTAAGTTCCTTATAGATTCTGAATTTTAGGCCTTTGTCAGATGCATAGTTTGGAAATATTTCCTCCCATTCTGTAGGTTATCTGTTTACTCTGTCAATGGTTTCCTTTGCTGTGCAGAAGCTCTTTAGTTTAATTAGGTCCCATTTGTAAATTTTTGTTTTTGTTGCAACATCTTTTGGTGTCTTTGTCATGAAATCTTTGCTAGATCCTATGTCCAGAATGGTATTTCTGAGGTTATCTTCCAGGGTTTTTGTAGTTTTAGGTTTTACATTTAAGTATTTTATCCATCTTGAGTTGATTTTTGTGCACAGTATAAGGAAGGGGTCCAGTTTGAATCTTCTGCGTATGGCTAGCCAGCTATCCCACCACCATTTATTGAATAGGGAGTCCTTTCCCTATTGCTTTTGTCAAGTTTGTCAAAGATCAGATGGTTGTAGGTGTGCAGCCTTATTTCTGGGCTGTCTATTCTGTTCCATTGGTTTATGTGTCTGTTTTTATACCAGTACATGCTGTTTTGGTTACTGTAGCCTTGTCATATAGTTTGAAGTTGGGTAATGTGTTCCCTCCAGCTTTGTTCTTTTTGCTTAAGATTTCCTTGGCTATTCAGTCTCTTTTTGGTTCCACATAAATTTTAAAATTGTTTTTTCTAATTCTATGAAGAATGTCATTGGTAGATTAATTGGAATAGCATCGAATCTGTAAATTGCTTTGGGCAGTATGGCCATTTTAACAATATTGATTCTTCTATCCATAAGCATGAAATGTTTTTCCATTTGTTTGTGTCATCTCTGATTTCTTTGAGCAGTCTTTTGCAATTCTCACTGCAGAGATCTTTCACCTCCATGGTTAGCTATACCCTAGGTATTTATTCTTTCTGTGACTATTGTGAATGGGATTGTGTTCTTGATTTGGCTCTCAGCTTGGCTGTTGTTGGTGTACAGGAAAGCTAGTGGTTTTTGTACATTGATTTTATATCCTGAAACTTTGCTAAAGTTGCTTATCAGATCAAGGAGGTCTTGAGCAGAGGCTATGGGGTTTTGTAGGTATAGAATCATATTGTCTGCAAATAGGGATAGTTTGACTTCCTCTCTTTTTCTTTCTTTCTCATGCCCGATTGCCCTGGTCAGGACTTCCAGAAACATTTCTTATGCACCTCCCATTGCCTCTCCATGGGGCATGGCTTAATGAGTCTCTCTTTTCCTCCATTCTTAGCTCCTGACAATCTGCAGGGGTGCTCTGACCATGGGCTCTTCTTATTAGTGTGTTCTACCTCTCCTCGTTTCTAGATCTTTCATGCATTACAGCCCCGGGTTTCCAGGGTCCCACTTGTGATTGGTGGGGGTAGAGGAGAAGAGAAAGAGGACAAGGATAACAGATGGGATGGGTGTTTCATCTCTGTCAGTGTTTCCCATATGCATATAAAAACACACAGAAAAATATTAAACCAAGGGGAAAAGGTTAGAATTTTTGTATTGGCACATATAATCTAGAGAAAATTGAATGCAGTAATAACATAAAGGTGGATTCAAATTTATAAGGAAAGGACTTGAAGCCCCAATAGTCTGTCAGTTGTCTATTAAAATATATAAATACTTCTAGAGGAAAATTACCTTGAGGCCAAGCTAATGTTAACAATCCATGTCACACATTTTTATAAAGATCTGCAAACACTATTACCTGTGTTCATGAATGGCTATAAATGAAATGACAAAGATTTAGCCCTTTAGGTAAGAAACTCCCAAACCCTATCACAGGATTCAGGTTGGATATCACTTCATATTTTTAGTTCATTTAAAATTAGTCATAATTTTCTTAGAAATCACTATGTATCATGAAAATAGGCAATTAGTTCCGACTATTTGCATGTGCAGTCTATTTTCACCTTACAGGATCCTAATTAAAACATGATCACACCTCACTCAGGTATGAAATGCCGCCAACAACTATACCCCAATATGATTTGTGGAACATTGTGGAAAATGTGTACTGAATCATTTGCAGAAACCTCTATTAGCTAGAAACAGCTTTTACATGCATCAGCTCAATGACAGGTAAGTTCTCTTTATTTTATTGTAAAAGTAATTAGCCTTTTGAAACTACAAGACCAGAACTGCATTGGTATACTGCCTGTTGCCCTTTCTGATGAGCTGGTGACACCATGTATTTTAATAAGCTCAGAATTTGCTATTATTGTCCTATGGATTCAGAAAGAGCGGATTATCTTCTCCTTCAGGGCCCTGCCAGCGTGATGCGCTGAAGCAGTTGTTCTATGGGCTAATGAGCTGAACGAGGAAAACTCATCACCAACCCAAAACCCGAGGCAAACAAAGTTTCTTTCCTTAACAAAATAAATCTTCAGAAGTGATGCATGTGATCCACAGTGAGGGTGTTTCCTTCTTCTACAATGTTTGGTGGGTTTTTTTGTTTGTTTGTTTGTTTTTGAGACGGAATCTCGCTCTGTCGCCCGGCTGGAGTGCAATGGCGCAATCTCGGCTCACTGCAACCTCCGCCTCCTGGGCTCAAGTGATTCTCCTGCCTCAGCCTCCTGAGTAGCTGGGACCACAGGCACATGTCACCACACCCGGCTAAATTTTGTATTTTTGGTAGAGATGGGGTTTCACCACGTTGGCCAGGCTGGTCTTGAACTCCTGACCTCAGGTGATCTGCCTGCCTCAACCTCTCAAAGTGCTGGGATTACTGCTGGGATTACAGGTGTGAGCCGCCGTGCCTGGTCCCATCTACAGTGCTTTTGAGTGAGGATAATTGTGGGTCAGCAGGCCAGGAAGATGAGGAACGGCCCGATGTACCTATTCCCTGACTAGCAGCTGTGGCAAGCAGGCAACCGAAGGTGCTTCCCCCACAGCCCCTTCCGACTTTGTGGCTCCTCTAAAACTTGTTTTTGGAGAACGCACTCCACAGTCTATCAATCAGACTAGAGATGAAAAGGCACCCAGAGATTGAATTCTCACAGTCTGACTTGGGATCCTGGCCTCCCGACCACTCCTTCAATGTTCTGTATTTATAACTCCATGTGAAAGTACTTGCTGAAGCCCAGATAATCTAGCTTTTTATCAGTTATTCATGAGATTTAGGCAAAATTGCATATTTATTACTTTTTTTTGGTATGGATTGCTTAGATAAATTGCAAGCAAGGAATCAATCCAAGATCTATTTGCTAGAATCCTCTCTAGGTTAGCTTAGCTTAGTAGTTCTCATTTCAATATGAAAACCATCGTTACAACTACTTCTCTTTGAACTCTGAGAACAGAGAATCCTGAATATTTGACAGTTTGTGGCAATTTATGTAGCTTGTTCTATTACTGCTGGCAGAATGTGGGGAAATATGGGAAAATCTGAATCTATAATATTTATACACACATATACACGCACACATACATATGTATGCTCATACATGCTCACATACACATATATACACATATATGCACCCCCACATACACACACACATGCACATAAACACATACAAACAGTATATACATATATATATATTTATTTCATAGCAGCAAAGGCAGAAATGGCAGAGCTTTGGGACTGGAGAAGGACTCAGAGATAGTCACTGCTAGAGACTTTCCACTCAGAGAGGATCTTATGTTTCCTCCCTCAGTTACTAATCAACTCCCACCCCTGACCAGTGGACACGGAAGCACCAGTTTCCCTCCATTTTCCCCTCTGCCCCCACCTTCTCCCAGCAGCCGGCCGGGACAGGACGGCTTCCCCTGCTTCCCAGAACCCTGCTGCCCTCCTGCTGCCCCAACGGGCCTGCTCAGGTCCCCGCGTTTGCTCGCACTGCTTCCTCTGCCCTTTGCTCATTACTCTAACCCTGCCTGCCCTTCAAAGTCTGGCTCTAAGCCCACCTCTGGGAAGCCCCCCAGGGAGGCCCGCTCACTCCTCTGAACTTCCCCCAAATCTAACGTCGAGGTTGGCCACCACCGTGTGAGGAAGGCAGGTCTCTCTCCCCCATTAGACTGGATCCATTTGCAATGGACCCGGGGCTCCCACATCTGACTGTGTCAATGGCCCTCGAGGTCACCTAACATCCCCATGTCACCCCAGCGGAGAGAGAACCGTCACCATGCTCTTACCATGTACCTAATTGCGCAGGTGAGGTGGTGGCCTGAGGCCAAGCACCTCAGTGACCAAGCGCAGGTTCTTACGCTGCATCCTGCCCCCTCCTTGGGTGGGGGCCCATGACTTGTTCCTTTCTGCCTCCCCAGACACCTGTAGCTGCCAGTAAATATTTATTGATTTTAACTGGGGCAGGAGGTGGATGAGTAGGGGTTAGGGAGCTGGGTGGTCTTTGCCCAGCCCCACCTCATGCCCAAAGGTGAGGAGACTGTCCCCACACAGCCCGATTCCTGAGCAGGCTCCCCAGGGGCCGAGGGAGGCTCTTCTGCTTTGTAGCTCAGGGAACACCCGAATCTCTTTATGACTCTGTGTCTTAAAGAAATTGGGACATAAATGTATACCTGAAGACAGCAGGATTACGAAAAATCCACTTGTGAACTGATAAATGTTGTAGTCTTCCTGGTTCCTATTACAATTTATAACTACTATTAAGAATTGATATAATATATGTACTCTAATGAAGTGGAAGTGGGTTTGTGACACTTTCTGTAAATTAAAGGTTTTCACCAATTCCGCTTAAGTATTCACTTTCTTCTTGTAATACTGCTTTAAAAATATTTTTTCCCTATGTTTCCGTCTCGTTAGCTTTCCTTATACTTGTTTGACACATTACAAGTTAAGAAATAATAAACATCACATTTGAAAAACGTGAACAGAGCACAGGAAACCGTGGCCATAGGAGGCTGAGAAATGTGAAGAGACCTGAACTGCTGAGAGGCAGGACCCATGTTCTGCGGATCCCACCCAGTGCCTGGGGCCTGGGGCCTGGGGCCTGATCCGGCCCAGTGCCTGGGTTCTGGGGCCCAGGAATGCCGGTGGTGCAGGGCGCTTCCCAAGCACGCTGACGTGCAGAAGTAGGGTGACCAAGCATCCTGCCTCAGCCTGGAATGTTCTGTGTCCTGGGAAACTTCTCAGTGCTGAGCAAACTGGGGCAATTGGTCACCCTATTAAAAAGGTATCTAAAACAAGGATTGTAAAAGAATGCTTCAACTCTTGAGGGTTTTTAGTATTTCTTGGTTTGTCAATGATCATATCAGGTGTCTTCACTTCCAACGTTAAAAGGTTAAAATTTGACCTTCCTTGGAGAAAAGACTCTCGGTGCAGTCCTGTCAATACATCTTGCATGCTGCTCACGAAATTCAATCCTCTCCCCTCTCCCACTCATGGCTGTGCGTTGTTTGGAAAGTATGCATGAACTGGGAAGTATGCGACACGTGCCCACGTTCATACCCTTGGCGTTTAGACTCCAAGGTTAGTACTGTTGCCTTTGCGCGAGGTCACGCAAATGGTCTAGATCATGGAGTAGAACATCCTGTAGACATTGGGACAAGTGTGCTGTGTGTGTGCACATATATATAAGCCCACACTGGGTGGTCCCATCCTCAGGAGGTGCCAATGTCCCAGTTCCTGATTTTGTGATGCAAGAGTCCCAGGGGACTAAAAGACCTAGGACATTTCCTTTTCTATATTAGAAAAAAAAGTTGCCTTTTTTTCTGTATTTTTAATAAAAAATATTTGTAGGCTCAGACTGGCAGTACATAAAGAGGACTAAAAGATTCCTCTGGTTGCCAGTCTTTATCAAAGCAAATTCCTTCACTTTTTGCCCATCCAAGTACTATATCTCTGATCACATTTTAAAATTAAAAAGTGAGCAGAGTCACTTTTTAGGGTCAAATGTTTTGTATTCTTCGGCAAGTCTGCAGAAAGATAAATACACTATAGTGCCATTTAATGATGTTTAAAATGTCCAAGACCTTCCTCTAGGCAGTGATAGAGATATATGTTACATATAATACAAATATAACCCTCACAGTATATACAAATATGTATTTGTGTTTGTAGCTATCTATGTATATAGACACGTAGATACATATCTGTACACATACACAAACACAGACACACAACAAACAAAAGAACCACACTGAATTGTGGTTGCCTCTGGGGCTAAGTTAAAGAATGAGTTCTGCGAGGAGTTCAAAGGAAGACAGCTCTGCCCCAGGCATCCTTCTCAGTGGAGTTTCAGTCTGGCCATTCTCTATCCCCACCTCCACCATTTACTCCTCCAGGGAAGTATTAGGTGCCTGAGAGGCGGCCAAGCTTGGCAGTTAAGGGTGAGGCCTCCTGGGCTGCACTGCCTGAGTTTGAATCTGGGATCAGCTCTTTCCTGCCTGTGTGATCAAGGCCTAGGTCCTTGCCTGCTCTGTGGCTGGGTTTCCTCCCCAGGCAAACGGGATGATAATAGTCCCTGGGTTATAGGGTTGTCATGAGCCTTGAAGGAATGAATAGACACAAAGCACTACTTTTCACTTGGAACAGCGGCTGACACAAACCCTGGAGGAGCCTCTGTCCTAGCTGAAGGCCCTCTGGTGAAAGTGGATTAGAATCTCTAGTTTCTTATGAATTAGCTCAAGCTGCAAGAATCAGCCTGCAATTTAGTTGAGGGCAGGAAACATTTTATCATTCTTATTCTTTAAGTACTCAGAGCTTCATTGAGTACATTGAACATCATGGGTGTTCATCTATTTCTTTATTCCGTACATGATCATGTGAAAGGAAAATAAATCTTGGGGCCCCCAAATCACTAAGCTCAAGGGAAAAGTCAAGCTGGGAACGGCTTAGGGCCAACCTGCCTCCCATTCTAGTCAAAGTGACCCTCTGCTCACTGGCATAGGTGCATATCTGATTGCCTCCTTTGGAGAGGCTCATCAGAAACTCAGAAGAATGTAACCTTTCATTTCATCTCCTGTGGCCTGGAAGCCCCTCCCTGTTTCGAGTTTTCCTGCCTTTGCTTCAAGTTGTCCTGCCTTTTCAGACCAAACCAGTGTACTTCTCACATGTACTGACTGATGTCTCGTGTCTCCCTAAAACATACATAAAACTAAGCTGTGCCCCAACCGCCTTGGGCACACGTCGTCACAACTTCCTGAGGCTGTGTCATGGGCGTGTCCTCAACCTTGGCAAAAGAAACTTTCTAAATTAACTGAGACCTGTCTCAGATTTTCTGGGTTCACGATCATTAAGCCCTTATTATTATCAAACACCGGGGCAGATGCTGGGACCTCATTAATGGGCAAGGCAACACACTTTCTACATGTAGCAAAACAGGAACACAGATCCTTGGTGCCAGACAACCTCGGTGCCCATCCGATCCACCCGTTCTCACTGTGTGACCCTGGGCAAATTAACATCTCTGGGCCTCACTTTCATCATTTGTAAAGTGAGAACAATGATACCATCCACTTCACACAACTGTAAATCACACACACACATGTAAAGTGCTGAGAGCAAGTGCCTGATGCATAAGCAGTATGGAGATGGTGCTATGATTTCCTCATTTATCTCACAATCTAGGTATTTGATGGTGTTTTTTGAACAAATGATAAACAAATAATCAAACTCTGAATATTTTTTAACTTACTGAGCTATCTTGACTCATTATATTAGCAAGAAAAGAGAAGTAAAATTCTCATAATCAAAACAGTTGATGCAGACTATATTAAAAATCTGTGGTCACTTTAGTGAATAACTAGTTCCAGTCGTTTGGTTAATGCATGTCCAAGGCTAGACTGAAATGCCTACTTGAAAAAGGAAAGTATGTGAGTGAATCAAAGTTTTTACTCTCACTCCAATTTTCCTCAAGACATCAGCACAGATTAGCGGGGACCTGGGGCTCACAGATAAACACGTATCTAGAAACCTCTCTTTGCATCAGTGATGATGAAGTCATTATATCCCTATGTACTGCCTTGTAAGTTTCAAGTGGTTTACATCACAATTTTTGTACTTTTTGTTTTGTGCTCCTGACATGGACAGGGATGCTATCCTTTCTACTTTCTACTGGGATGTGGCCAGTTCTGTTCCTTTGAAAGATAAGATAACCCCTGCTCTGAATTGCTCCCTTGTCAATTCCCTTAAAATGGAAGGTAAAGAGAGAACATTTAACATAAGAATAGAAAATAGCCGGCGGGCTCAGTGGCTCAGGCCTGTAAGCCCAAAACTTTGGGAGGCCGAGGCAGGCGGATCATGAGGTCAGAAGATCGAGACAATCCTGGCTAACACGGTGAAACCCCGTCTCTACTAAAAACACGAAAAAAAAAAATTAGCCGGGCGTGGTGGCGGGCGCCTGTAGTCCCAGATACTTGGGAGGCTGAGGCAGGAGAATGGCGTGAACCCGGGAGGCAGAGCTTGCAGTGAGCCGAGATCGCGCCACTGCACTCCAGCCTGGGCAACAGAGTGAGACCCTGTCTCACAAAAAAAAAAAAAAAAAAAAAAAAAGAAAAGAAAAGAAAATAGCCACCAGTTTCATAAGGACAGTAGGTTAATGGGACTGTACTTTTATGACACACCTCTAGAGCAAGCATTTACAGATGGTATTTCTTTTTTCTTCCTTTATAGCTAAAGGTGATTTCAAAATAGATGTGTACTGGAGCAACTGAAAGCACCAACAATATCCACAGAGATGAGCTGTGATTACTACTAACGGAGAACCAGTTATGACTGTATTCAAAGGGAAATGCTCTTACTGTGGAAAAAATCAGGTATTGACACATTCTACTAATATATGTATTTTTTCCTGGCAGAAAAAAGTTATCTTGAAAATTTTAGGTTCAAGTTTTTAAAAGTTTAGTAAAATGACCACGAGTTCTTCTTACTTTTTTTCTGCTTCAGTTTTCTCCCTCCTTCATATATTTATTTATATTTTCTATCATTTGCCCATTTACCAAGCTGTCTGTCCGCCTCTATCTATCTATCTATCTATCTATCTATCTATCTATCTATCTATCTGTCTAGTCTGTCTGTCTAGTCTGTCTACATGTCTATCCATCTATCTACCTGTCTATTTGTCTGTCTATTTGTCTATCTGTCTAGTCTTTCTTTCTACCTGTTTATCTATTTGTCTGTCTGTCTGTCTAGTCTTTCTGTCTGTCTGTCTGTCTCTCTAGTCTTTCTTTAGCTCTGTCTTCTGAACATCTGCTCACCCTGGGTCTTGTGTCATGTGCACATGTATCTGTTTATTTCTTGGCCTCTCTTCCTTCTTTGATTGCAGAATATGATAAGTGACTCTTTCAAGAAACCATCACTGAAGTCTCACTGAATTCTGTCAACAGTTCCAACGACGACAACAGGTAACATTTATTGAACCATCACTAAGTGCCAAGCAGATTGTTATGTAATTTATTTACACTGTGTTGCCTAATGTTGCCTCAAACCCTGCTGAAGTAGCTGTCACTCTTCCCATTTGACATCTCTAAGGTGCAGAGCAGCAACTCCCCAATGCTGCACAGCAAGGTGAGGCCACAGGTAAGGCTCCCAGTAGCCCTAGGACAGGAGAGGTCTTGGAGCGGATACATGTTGGCGAAAAGAGTGAAAGGTCACTTTAACATTTGGGTCGTGGTTGACCAGGGGAGGGACGACGGTGTCATTAGCAGGGACAACAGAGCTGTTGGGCGCTGTCCGTGAGCAGCAATCATAGTAGCTCTCATTGATTAGAGTCTCCATGTGCTTATCATGTGCAGGGCACGGTTCTACTTCCCTAACTCTAGATGATCAGGGAACGTTCTCGCGGAAACGCTGTGCGAGAAATGCTGATTGGGATCTTGGACCTGTTGCTTTTGAGGTGGGCAGGAGATGAGCTGGAGGAAACTGAAGGAAACTGAGCCAGCGACTGGAGGGACGGGGTCTGGGAGGGAACCAGCTCGTAGGGGGTCTCTGGGATCCCTGCTTCTCCAGAAAGAGCAAGAGGGAGCTGCGCCCTGCTGGAGAGCGGGAGAATGGAGGCGAGAATCAGGGAGGGAGGAATGAGTGAGAGAGATCCCGAGCTGGGAGGAGATGCTGGGGAGCCAGCGGAGACACCCAGGGGCGGGCGCGGGAAGGGGCGCAGGAGGAAGCCAGAGCTCTCCAGGGGCCATTTTAGAATGGCCGTGGGAACTGAAACTTTGAAAGCAGCGTGACTGTGTGTCTTTAGGCGCAGAATCTCCATTTCCCGGCAGGGCAGGGAACGCAGCACAGGGAGGCTGAGAGGGGGGTCGGGCGGCCTCCACTGCCACCTCCTCAGCCGCCGAGGCGCAGGGAGCCCTGGGGGAGGTTAGACCCCTTCCTACCTGCACTCCCTTATCACAAAATGTCTTTAAAGCACACTTCTGGGAAGCGGGGGAACGATTTCGCCGCTGGAAAAGGGAGTCACACCACATTGAAAACACTGGGCTCTAGGGCCATGTGGAAAGGGAAGAGGCCTCCAACACTCCTCTCCATTGGACGCCTGTCTTCATGGGTTTCACGGTCAAATGTATGATGTAAGGAGAACCCACATGAGGAGATAGTCTTGGAAGTGTGGTCAGGGCGGCACCTGTGGTTAAACTTCTCTTTGGCAGCACTCTCTTTGGATGCAACAGCTTCAAGACTAGATGGAGATTTAAGGAATTATAAATGAAATAAACAATTAGCCAACATTATTAGTGGTTCACGATAATGAAATGTGAGAACAATCAAATGCCAATCATCAAAGCGTGGCTGAGAGGCCAAGGCATCCCCGATGCTTTCTCTGTTATGGGGGGATAAAGAGGCTCCTTCAATTGCTACCTTTGGAAACATCACCTCCTTTTGACATGGTGAGAGTCGGGGTCAAGAGAAGTGGACTCCCTCTACCATCGACTCCAGATCAAGGCTCAAGTTGAAGAGGACCAGTCCCAGGAGGGAGGAGAGGCTCACTGTTCAGCAAGCCCGTGGACACCGATGTAGAGGGGAGGCACTTGAAGAGCCCCAAATATCTGATGCCTGCAAAGTGCACTGATGACCAAAAGGGAGGGAGGGGCGTGGGGAAGGAGGGGAGAGTGAAGGAGGTGGGAAGGGAGAAGAGCAGAGGGAAGAACAGCAGGCGTGGGGTTGGGGGGCATTGCACTCCAGTCTCAACAGGCAGCCCCATTCCTGTGGCCCAGTAGGCCTGCATGTTCTAATCTCCAGGACTGATTTTACTTGCTCCAAAATACTTGCACATTGATGCCTTCACAAATAGGCTATTTTGATGAGTGAAGCAACCACCGCTTACAAAAAAGCTGTCCTCTTCAGTGTAGGTATGCCACTATGACTACAAACACCTCGGACACCCCGGCTGCACCCTATCTAGTCCCAGGAATGACTGGCTGTCAGGGTCCCCGTCAAGTCCATTCTGTGCTTGATGGCAGGTGGCCTGTGGCTTGTGCAGCCCAGAGCCAGACACCACCAGCCTGGAGGCGCCGGGGTTTCCTGCCTTGGGAAAGGCAGACAGATGGAAATAACAAGATGAAGAAAGAAAGATATGAAAGGAGGGAAGGAGGGTGACAGGGAGACAGGAGAAAAGACAGGGAGGGAGGGAGAGAGGGGGAGAGAACAAAAGAGAGACATCAAGAGGAAGAACTGAAACTAAGTTCTGGAACTTCAAAAGTAAAAACAGAACCCCAGGAACACTGACTATGGAATCTCTCCTCTGTAGAAAGGAGCACTGAGTCTATGAGCTACAGGGGAATGTGTAATCGGGCGCAGAACCTCCATCACAGATGGCCTCATCTGTTGTCAAATCTGATTAGTATTAAGAAACAGTCTTACTTGAGGTCAGGAGTTTGAGACCAGCCTGGCCAACATGGCAAAACCCTGTCTCTACTAAAAATACAAAAATTAACCGGCTTTGGTGGCCCACACCTGTAGTCCCAGCTACTCGGGAGGCTGAGGCAGGAGAATCGCTTGAACCCAGGAGGTGGAGGTTGCACTGAGCCGAGATCGCGGCACTGCACTCCAGCCTGGGTGACAGAATGAGACTCCATCTCAGGAAAAAAAAAAAAAAAAAGAAACAAAAAGAAACAGTTTCCTAGTCCAACATGGATTTGAAAAAGTCTCTGATTCTATGTTTTCTCCAATATGTTTAAAATGTGTACTACATTTAAAATACATTTTTATTTGAATTACTTTTAGGAATACTTTCAAACTATGACGGGCTGGTACAATTTCTAACTTTGAATATTGAAACAAAAATTATCTCTGAGGAAAATTTGTCGAGTTCAATATAACAAAATAAAAATATTTTTTATTTAATAAAAATAAAGAAAGAAAGAAATCCCATGTGTTCACGTCTTCATTTAGTGTTTCCCTCCCAGTTCTCAGGAGGCCACCATGCCGCCCTGTTCCGCACATAGCACTGGGTTCTTAAAAATGGTCAGTCTCGGTATTTCTGGCCGGGCAGCCCCTGGGAACAATCGCCTTGTTGATAGTTTTCCACACTTAATCAGAGAATTTAAAGCAATACAAATGGAATAGTGGTGAAAGTACCAACTCTGACCTTAACTCTTCATACATTGTCTTAAGTTTAAATTCAGCCCTCAAAAACAAATTTAAAACAAAATGAAAGTTTTTCCTCTGGATATTTGAAAGACTGACACCCATTTTCACTCTCTCAATCTAAGTGAAGCCTTATGGAAATGATTAGCACACAAGGCATATTTCTATAGTTGGATATTTATAAAATATAACGTGGCACATTAAAATTTTTCTAGACTCTATCACCACCTTAAAAATGAATATTTAAAAATTACCCTGCAGTTACATGCCAGTGTGCTTGAAATTTATTTTTATAAATATTCATTTGAATTATAGGCTTCAAATGTCTGTATCAAGCAATAAATTGTCATTTTAAAACCAGGAACAACAAAGAGTGACTGTTTATTGGGTTTAAAAAAGGCTTTTATCTCTCACAGACTTTGGGATCCGGTTTAAGGGTTGTAGAATGGTAAGAAGTATCGGGCATTTGGAAAAAATGGAGATCCAAGGAGTGAAGAAGTGTGTCAGATCTTTTTAAGCAGGAAATCGAGTGATGGCTGCCTACTGCAGGACGTCACAGATGTCTGCACCTGTCCAACCCTTGACAGATGCTCCCAACACACCCAACCTGGGAGCCAGTCAGCCTAACCATCTTCCCTGCAAATACACACAGTACAAAAATAAAATGTTCTCTCATCAAGTCTAAATAGAGATCCACATAAGCCATCCATGTCAGAGAACTCTAGCTTTGTACGCTATGATAAAAAAAAGTATTTAAAATGAAATAAACACCTTAATTCATGCTCATCTTGAGACACACTTACCAAAGTTTAAATGTTTAAAAATAAGGCAATAGACATTTTTATGGTTGATAACAAACTACAAATTTGTCTGGGGGAAAAAATCATTAAATGTTTGACAAAAGAGCTGTGATAAGAGATAAAGAACACAGTATTCACTGTCTAAAGAACCAGAGGGGAAAATACAGCTTGTCCCCGAGCCCACATTTTCAACTATGTGTGCTATGATTACAGTTCTAAACAATGGATACTGTGTCAGCACAGAGAAAAACAAACAATAGATCTTTTTCTGAAAGTATCTGTAGGAAGACCATACAAAACAGTCAACAAGGGAACTGAAATAATCCTTGCATTCTTTGCAAAAATAATACTTTAAGGTTCCTTTGCAAGAATGTTGGTATTCTTTTCCACTGTGCATTTCATTTTCCTTCATTCACTACAGATTTTCTCCCAACCTGCACCTGGTTTGAGCAGCAGTCAGCTGGCTTCTGGGGACTTTCCCTATTTCATTCCCTCTAACCCCCAGAGACTCTGGAGGCAGCTGCACAACTGTGCTTTCTTTAGTTATAAAAGCTAGCTTGTGACATCCTTTGTGTGATTCAGTTAAAAACTGAATTAACTGAAATCAATTCAACAACAACTGCCCCGGTGCTTCCCCGTAGATAGCACCGCTGGTCAGTTCGGGAGGGGATGGGACATTGAGGAGCAGGACAGTCTTCAGGAAGCTTACAGTCTGCTTTGGGGTGTGAGACACCAGGCGGGGTGTGGCTTTCATTGGGAGGGACTCCTATGAAGTGTTACAGGGTTTAGAGAAAAAAGGTGGCTGGAAATGGAAGATGAGAGGATCCTGGACAACCTGGGGGCAGAGGGACGTCATGGCTCTGAGTGGGAGTGGAGAAGATGGCATTTTGGTGGATGGGTGGAGGAAGAGCATAGGCACAGATGGCCACGTGGAGTGTGGTCCACAGATAAGTCACCTGGTGGAGTGCAGCCACAGTGCCTGAGTCAGGAGGTCTCAGCTCGTGAGTGTATCTTAGCTCAACGATACACTCAAGATCCTTGAGCTAGGAGAAACCCTATAAACCACCTAAGTGGATGCCTTCTCTTTAGAGAGGAGAGAGCTTAGGTCACAGAGAGGCTGTGACCTCCCCCAAGGGTGGTGCAGAAAGCGGCCATAGCAGTGAAGGGGAAAGGCCTCGTGGCGTTGGGGGGCCACTCGCCATAAAGGTGTGGGGGTCAGAGAAAGGGAAGATCAGAGGACACTGGAACTTGACACTGAGCTGAGGAATGAGACTGGGTGGGATCATTCATAGAAATTTCATCTGAAGCCTGGGAAGGAAGTAGGTTTGGGGGGTGGCGGGAAGGGATGATGGTGAAGTTAGTTTTTTAATTATTGCTTTTATTTATGTATTTATTGTTTGCAATTTTGAGGTCTAGTGTCCATTTAAGTGGAATGGCTTAGGAAAAGGTGCTCATATTTTAAGCTGTTCTCCTGGACTAAGGGTGAATACATAGTCCCTCTTTTAACTTGAATCTAAGTAACAGGTTTTTTGTTTGTTTGTTTTGTTTTTCAAATGATAATATGTAATATTTTAAATTCAGTATTCTAATAAATGCTAAATAAGGGATTTCTGATTTCAGTTGTTTCAGGAACACAGTCATCCCTCAGAAATGGATTGGGTGACAAGTGGTCTGCATGCTGCACACGGGCACTGGGTGAGTGTGCTTGGAGCTGTTTGTCAGGACATCATCAGCAATAGACAGAACACGAGGGAAGTAATCAGTGAAAGAAGACGAAGTTGTTAAGTTGTTTCTGACTTTATCTTTGGAGCGGGCTCACAGAACATTTGAGTGGGCTTTTTGGTATAAGAGAAAGAGCCCTACACTTTTGCCCAATTCTAGTTCTAGGCTCCAAAACAAATTTTACTAGGGTTCTGAACTGACGGGTTAGACTGTTTTTGTTAACTTTTATTCTTATAAATATTTTTGGCCATTGCAGTCCAATCAGAAGAAAAGTAGAAAGCAGGTCATTTTTACCTTCTCTAAGAAAAGAAATCCAAAATTTACAGGAAAGCCCATTCTTGAAAGTCCCTTGTGCTGCTAGGCAGGGCCTTTCGATTATTTTCAGACAGATGTTGAACCTTCAGAATTTCCTCCGTGCATCGGGGTCACTGACTACTTGTGTCTAATGCAACTCTGCACTAACTAGATTGTGCGCCGACCTCTATTTTCACTTTCAAACCTCATATTCCAACGTTGCTCAAGGTTGACTGTCACTGACTGGGCTTTTCTTTACGACTGTACTTATGAAGAACAAATGTACTTGTAAATGTTTGGGGACTTCAAATTTAGTTTACAAATGTGTAGTCCTCATTGAAGATTCGATTTGTATTATATTTAGGCAAGTTTTCTGGCTCTTAATGGGGTCCTAATGAGTCACCGATGGTAAGGCTTCAGATTCAGACCTTCCTGTTAGGATGGGGATGAGCTGTTTGTCCTCATTTGCCAATTATTTGGAAGAGAAAACCAATGTAATGCAATCGGAATCCAGTTGTATTATTAAGACCCGCATTTGAAACCTAGTTTCTTCTATCAGAAGTAATTTTTCTGATTTTTGGATTATGTACTTCTCCTTCATATAAATGAATGTTACTGCTTTTGTGGTGTTACCAGACCTAGCTTATAGAAATAAATGACAGGCCACCTGGGGGTCTGCCCGTGCAAGCATGAACTAAGCAGCAACAAGCAGTATGCCCTGCGGTGACCAGTGTGTCAGCATTCACATAAGCCCGGGACAGTGAATGCGGGCCCTTGTCAGTCACGGGCATCAGGCGCATGGCACTGGGCACAGCTGACTGCCTGTTGATGCTGATGGCTGGATGGCTGCATTTAAGTACACTTTCACAAAACTCATTTGTATCTCTTCCCGAAGAAACCTAAATGGAATTAATTTGTTGGAGGGCTGCAATGTAAAATTTTTAAATAGAGAACAAAATGGAGTATGTTGCTGTTTCATGGAAGAGAACACGGGAGAAACTAGCAATCTGTAAGCTAAAAATTGATGGCAGCCCCTGCCACAATGAATAATTGGCAATGCCATTCAGCCTTTAAAGGTATCAGATAATGAATAAGCTGGGCATAAGGCATCTAGTTCCCTTCCATTATTCTCCAATAGGTTATGTAATAAACATCCATCCCTGAAAGATAATTCTGTTTTTCATTGTTCTGTAAGAGAAGATAATTCTCTCTTTTTTTAAATTGTCCTGGAAGACATTCTTAAAACACCTTGTTAACAAACTGGCTAAATGTCCACCTACAGAATTGCACTAACTAAAACCAAAATTAGTCATTAGAGCTGTTATGCATTTGTCAGCAAATCCCTTATGTCCATCTCATGCCTGACTTTTCTTTAACAAAACTATGTTATACGTAGAACTTAGCAGTACAGATGATGCCTGCTTTGATCATACAAACGGGCTTTATACATGAATTGTAATTTCCACTTTAATTTGTTTTTGCGAAATCTTTCCTGCAGTATCATTCCATCTCAGCATTCCCCAACCACCTTTGACATTTTAATCAATTATCCTCTCATGTCTTGTTAGGCCACAAACGTATGGGCTCTATTTTTTCAAAGAAAAGTATGTTGGTCACTTACAAGATGGATCCAAATGTAAAAGATGTTTTTCACGTTCTAGCGTACATTCCTAATTGTTCTTAGTCAATGTCTGCAAATGAATAGTATGTGGAAATATCCTAAGCCCATGCTTGCTTTGTACAAAGGAATCCTTTCCCCTCTACTGAATGCTATCTGGATGGGCAATGACGACAGTTTTTCAGATCTCAAACACAACAGAACGACACACCAAGTCAGACATGAACTAAACTGCAATTGTAACTACTGAGGGAATTTTTATGCAGATTATGTAACAAAAATGAAACTAGACAAAGTGTGAGAAAGGCCACTAAAATAAAACGGTCAGGCCACGCTTTAGAACTGTAGAATCAAAGAGTCTTCACCTTTCTAGGCTGGAGACGACCTTCTCACTCACGGACCAAACCCTTGGTGTGACCTCTATTTCCCAAGAGATGAGCCTTCAGGCCTGAGGATCAGTGGCCTGATTCTTATAAAGGAGACGGTGGACTCACAAAGGCATCACGTCAGTATTTTAACAAGCTCACCTCTAAGAGATGACGTTAGATTTTCTACTGTAGCTTCGGGGGCTTAAATAGACACTCCTTAATTTAGAGTTAGTAAGCTCAATCATTTTGATCAGGTACAGGTTTTTAGCAACAACTGTCATCAAAACAGGTTTTCCAGTAGCAAATGAATTTGATACTGACTAAACATTTGGTAAAAGATGACTATGCACATGCCAAAGAAAAGAGTGACTTGGGAGAGCTTTTTCTATACAAAGAATGGTTGACTTGGGGCTCCTGCCTCCCCGATGTTCTGATGCAAACCAGTCCTGTGTGTGGGGACTCTATTTGCACAGATCACATAGTTCCCTGTAGGAAAAGATACTCATATAAACCCACACAACTCCAACATAGCTCAACAAGTAGAATTTTAAAAACTAATATTGTAAGGGGTGTTTCAAAGAGATATGCTCATTTTGGGACTTTTTAACTCTCCCCTCATGTTTCCTGCCTTGTTGAAGAGTGGACAATTTATTTGGTATTGACTTAGTGTGAGGCATGCCCTAGACCCGAGGAATATAAAGGGGACTGGGAGAAAGCCCGGCCTCCCTGGAGCTCTTCACGTGATGACAGGCGCAGATCAGCGGACAGGCGCGTAACAGGAGGTGCTAAGTGCGCAGGTGGGGTCACGTGCCGCGTCACAGCAGTGCTGGAGGAGAGTCCTGACTCATGGCCTGGGATGCTGGGGTTCCTCCCCAGAGAAGCTCTTTTGGACCTGGGAGAAGGAGTAGGACTTTGATACACCATGGAGGTGAGAATCCACTTTGGGATGGGAAACCCACTGAGTGAGGTAGAAAAGAGGGTGAAGTAGAAAAGGTGGGATTCGGGGCTGGGAAATCCAGCAGGGTCTCTGTGTGCTGCCGATGGGTTTGGATGGTTCTGCAGGTGACGGGGCTGTCAACGTTGCAGCACCATGATGAAGTCTGGGGTGGAAAGCAGATACATTCATGGAGGGGAGGAGCGCGGGCTCTCAGTTGAGAGGCGTTCTCAGCAGTGCTGCAAAGAGATGGGGCCAGTCCTGAGCCACTGGAAAGGCGGGCGGCGAGCACAGAAGCCTTTCACAGGCCACTTGCACAGGCCTGGGTGCACTGACTGGCGTGGGTAGGGTGGGCGAGGGTGGCGTCCAAGGTGACACTGAGGTTCCAGCAGAGGCCGCGAACAGATCAGTCTATGGAGGGATGTTGGGCATACAACGGAGGAGCGGATGTGAGAAGTCAATAATGAGTTCAATTTAGGCCATCCTGAGGTTCAGGTGTTGTATCACATACAGTTGAAACTGTGATTTGGTGTTCAGAGGAAAACAGACTTTGAGAAAAACAGATTTGGGAGCCACTGATAGGGAAGGGAAACGGATGAAATTACCCGGGACCCTGTGGAGCTTGAGGACGGGGGGTGTCTCCCTCCCTGCAGAGCAGGTGCCTGGAGAGGAGACAGAGCCCGTGAAGTGGGGGCAGGAAAGGGCGCTGATGGCGCAGAGCCCGGGGAAAATGTCAAGAGCCCCAGGAGTGGATGCCCCCAAACAACCGTCAAATTGGTCTTGTGTGTGCGGTGAGGGCGACGGGAGGCCGACTAAATACCTCCTGACTGTGCCCCTCAGCGGGTAGGAACAGAAGCACCTCCAGGGAGGGAGCAGAGCGGTGGAGAGGAAATGCATGCTGGGTTGAATGACATCAAACTACTCGGAAGCAAAGGAACAGCCTCATGTTTTAGTCTGTGAGATGGGGCCAGGGAGCGCCTGGTCCGGCAGGAGTGAGAGATGCACACCTGCACGCGACGGCTCCACTGGGCAGGGAGATAGGGTGTGTCCAGGGGAAGAGGCTGCCAGAAGCGGCCAGAGGAATCAAGAGTTCCAACTCTTAGTAAGAATCTAAGTTGGGAGAGATGAGACTGTGGGCACAGCCAGGCAAAACAGGCCTCTCCACCACACTGGCCCCATGCTGAGGACAGAGGTGGCAAGTTTAGAATGACAAGTAGTCTGTGTGTGTGTGTCTGTGTCTGCGTGTGTGTGTGTGTCTGTGTCTGTGTGTGTGTATCTGTGTCTGCCTGTGTGTTGAAGGGGGCACACGAGAGAATTCCCTCAGTAATCTGAGGGTGTCTGAGAGTGGAGACAATGAGAATGTTGCTTCCATTTGCCATTGGACAGCAGCTCTCCAGGCGTGTGCAGCTTTGCAGCCAGCAGGCTATGTTGGGGTCCACCCCTTGGCTCCATTCTTGGGGGAAGGGGGAAATCTGAAAGCCTGCCAGAGAAAAGGCCACACAACGAAGCCCCCTGGCTAGGCAGCCCACTATGCAGATTCTATAAGGGGGCAGTGCCTGCGTCTCAGAGGGTGCCTGCAAGCTGAGCTGAGAGTTAAGTGAAGGCCAGCAGAAAGGCCCAGTCACTGTTTAAAGAAGCCCTGTGACATATAGGCTGGACCAAAACAGAGAGAGGAGGGGGCACGCCCTCCCCCACTCACTGCCTGGGAGTGCTGGGGTGATTTGCTGGGGCTTAGAGTAGATGGGGGTGGGGTCAGCAGTGGGAGAGGAGACACAGGGAAGCAGCTCTGGAGCTCAATGCAGCAAAATTCTCCCGATGCACAACCTGCTGAGAGGCATCCCTACTGGACCCATGAGGCAGTCTGGGGCTCAGGATCAGGACATTACACGGAGATACAGAGAAATAAAGAGCATTTAATTTTGGCCTTCAATTATGCCCCTGTGAAGTTCATGCCCACCACAACTGCAACTAAGCTAAGGTGGTCGCTTGCATTTTGTGTGGGATTAAATTGATGATGCCGCGATTTCCTCCAGCATCTTATCTCAGGCATCGGGAACTAATCTGCAGCAGGGCCACCATTTATATTGTGGGCACTCAATTTGTTCTTTTTCTTAACGAATTCTTTGATTATCTAATACTTTCCTTTAAAATGGCTTATATATTTGCAGTGAAATTTACCAAGTGTTGAAGTAACAGTAACATCTTTAAGTCCTGTTAATTTGAAAAATGTAGATTTCCTATGACAACCCTGAACTGTCCTGGAACTTTACTCATGCTGAACTTCAGGACATCTTATTAAGCTGGATCCATGTTATAGAAATTACGTGGATTGTTTTATCACAATGTCCCCTGATCTTTCTTTCTTAGCTTAATTTTCTACTACAATCCAGGCTTGTTTTGGCCAATTGTTCCCACTTGCTTTTATCGGTAAAAAAACAATTGTGATGACTCCCAGCGTACGGCTGCACTCCTCCTCCATCTTTCTCTCTGTGGTGCCATGTGCAGAGGTGCCTGGAGTGTGGTTAGATCCTTTCCCCATCCCTGGCTACAAACAGCAGTATTTGCTTCTGCCCTATATGGTGGTGTGCTAAATTAATTACTTTTTGGTTTCTGCTAATTAATTGCATTGGTGTTCTGGCTTCAGCCTTCCTGGCCTTGCAGGTATCATGCCATGAAAACAAAACAAAACAAATCTTCCATGATCTGGCCTAATTTCTACTGCTTGTCCCATTTCCATTTGCCCACCAGGTCTCTGAATGTAACCAAATTGTTCTCCTCTTATCATTCCCATTCACTGGTGTACTTGTTTGTGGAGCCTGCAGAACTGCCTTTTTCAAGAATGGTGAGCTTTCTCTCTCTTTTTGTGTCTCTGGGTGCCTGTACGTAGGTTTCTTTATATTAATGCCTGAAGTAGGCAAAGTTGCATTTCTTTATGTTGCTAACCTTTCTCGTGCAGTGCGGCAGGACAGCAAGCAACCCAAGGCTCTGAGTTAACTCCTCTCAAACACAGGGATATTCTTAGGAGCTCATAGCACCTGTACCACTTAGAACAATTAGAGACATTCAAGCTAGTATGGCCAATACGAACATTGTTTATGTGCTTCCTTTTTCGATTTGGGTTTTCGAAGCCCTTAGTAATTCTTAGTGAAATGGAATAAATAGAATTGCACCATTATTTAGGCACCGCTTTTTTCTAGCAATTTCCATTCCAATTGGACACTGAAAATTTCACCATAATTTGTCATGGCCACATGAAATGTTATCAGGGGCAGTGTTACTGAGCTAGTATGGACAGTATAAAGAGATGCACTGTCTTTAATGTAGCATTAAAGAAACAATTTATGTACAGGATTTACCAGACTCTTAAGTAGACCTAAACTGAACAAGAAATGCTACTTTAAAACTTCCAGTTACTCTATGTTCTATTATCTATGCATCCTGCATATTAGCACTGGGGTAAATTTCTTAAGGAACCGAGCACAAGGAGCTAAATTTGCACATTGATTTTTGTCTTTTATCTGCAGCTTAAGGCTAATTTAAAAGGATGGTGAGGAGATTCTATTTTCAACTGGCTGAAGTTCAATAAGAATAAAATAAAACACTGTTGTAGCAAACTCTTTCACAGTGGAAGTTTGGCAAAGCTAAATCTCATTCCTTTCGATGTGCTCCAGTACAGCCAAAATACTGTTCCAGTGAGTAAGACACCCATTAGAGTGATGAGCTTCCTACAGAACAAGAATCTCTCCATATTTTATTTTAAACCAAACCAGTGTTGCATTGCTTTGTATTAAGAATCCAAAAGGAAATATTGTGTAATACAATCAGTAAAAAACCTACAGTTTCGTTACAGTTATATTTTTATCATTGGCCTGCGTTTTCCTAATTTCAGAAGTATACGTGATCATTTTAGATACAGGAAATGACTTCTTTTAATTTTTCTTGTAGTGAAAGTTTTACAATTCTTTAGTCAAGCCTACTGATTAGCTTAAAAACCCTAATAAAAGGAGTGACCACACATACATCTCTGTAGGTATAAATCAAGGTTGGGAAATTTTAAAGGTGCATTTCTTTTTCTTCCTTTTTTTTTTCTTTAACCCTATGTCTTCTAGGCAGCTTGGCCTCTAAATCTGCTTCCCACTGATGGGAAGAGCTGACAGAAGCTTTAGAGAGGCACAGGGTGAGTTCCTAAAACCAGAGTCAACACACACTCTTCATCTGTTTTGTGCTTCACTCCCTGCTCATCTTCCTAAAACACTGAGTTTGGTCATATCATGTCCTACAAGTTGTCAATGATTTCCCATGATCTTGTCTTCAGGATAAAGTTCCTTAGTCAAAAGCAATGAAGACCTGACCTAATCTGTAAGGCAAAATCAACACTTTTTAGCCTGGCCTTCCATGCCCTTCCATGCCCTTCGAGCCCCCAGAGCACCCATGGCAGTCCATCTCTCTCTACTTGTCCAGAGGGACACTCTCTTAGAGCCAGTGGCTCCTACTCACGGTTCCCCGAACACGTCGTGGGAATGTTTGCCTTCATACCTTCCCAGATCATTTTCCTGATCTCAGACACCCTCCGTCCTCATTCATTCACTCTTCAATTGTCCAACAAATATTTGTTGCTCATGCAACCTGGATCACCCACATAGTTTCAAGACTGCATCTTCTAAACTATTTAAATCCTATCCATTCTTCAAGAAATGTTTCATGACGCTTCCTTAACTGCTAAGGACCCGCAGATTCTCTTCCTCTTGGGACTCACACACTGACTCATCTCCCGATCTTTTGGTGCTCAGCAAAGTGGAGGCTTCTGTTTTGGACTTAGAGTCAAGACCATTAAATAAGACTATGCTCTAAAAAGTACACCTCCGTGGCCCGGAACGAGTGAATTAACATCTATGAGTTTCCATTTCCTTGTCTATAAAATTGTGAAATTGCAACTTAAGATTAGTTCTGAAGATTAAATGAGGTAACATAGGTGAAAATGCTACATTTATGTAAGAAATTACTCTTTCATAAGGATGTCAATGTTTAAATACGCATTTTCTCAATTTTGTTAATGAAATACTTTGAAATTCTTTTTTCTAATGAAACCTGCTGAATGTAAAAGAGACCCGTACTAAAGAAAGATACCACATGAAGCACCAAGGGTCTCTTTCTGGATCTATCATGACTCTTGTGACTGTTTCAGCAGCACAGAAATTAAAGGCGATTGTTATTCTGGAGGAAGACAATGAGTCTCATCTATATCTTGTTTGGGTTGATTTTGTAAACAGAACATTCCAAAGATCATTCTTGCCTTTTGTTTCCACTGAGAACTAGAATAAAGTAAAACAAACTATCAATTTAAGGAAAGCCTCGAAATTGTTAGCAATTTCTTCAGTAACTTTCATCCATCAACTGATTTTATGAACACAAATTTGCAGAAATGGGCAAGAAAAACTACTTAACTCATTGGTGGGAAGCAGTGGGCTCTCTAAGGAGGGAGAGATAGCAGTGATTTCACCACCGGACCGTGGAACACAAAGAGCCTGGAAGAGTCTATCACTTTCAACTGAAACCGCAAGAAGAACTAAGTAGGTTAAGCCCTAAGAATGTTCCTAGGTAACCTACTTGAGTTGAAATTTGACTAAGAATCCTTACACCCTACCTAAGAGAGGTAACGCTATTAGGATCGGAAGTGATTGGAAGCTTTGTTTCAGATCTCGTCCAAAAGGGAGAACGGTCAATGACAAAGCTGCTGTGAATAGTATTCTGGGGGCGTGGTGGAACCCCGATTCACTGCTATCTCCCGAATCAGCAACTTGACAGAGCGCGCCTCCCGGGCCTTGGAAGCCTTCCATTCCGAGCTGGCTGGGTGGGACTCAGGTTTTACGGTATGCTGGACTTTTTCCCCGTGAGTTAAAACACATTTATAGTAACTAAGTGGTTAATGATGAGAAAAAACCCCAAACTACTGTACTAATAATCAACCTCTGCTATTTGGTTTGTAAAAAACAAAAATACATCTATAAAAAGGGTTGGCCGGAGATGTGTCTGTATTTTTTTTTTTTTTTTTTTTTTTTTTTGCCACCTCAAGCAAATAATCTCTGATTCTCCCCTGTCCATGAGGACCCATTTCCAGGGGCAAATCCTCTGGGGGTGGACTTGTCCTTGGAAGGGGGAGGGGAGGGCCGCTGGCACGAGACACAGAGACTGGGAACAAGTTCACAGTGTTCATCTCCGGGGACTCACAGAAGAATGGAGAATTGGCTCTTTCATCTCCAGCCCCGGCACTGCTTTTCACTGCCCCTGAGCCTCTGCTGTCCCCAAGCGGCCGTCTGTATCACAGAGGTGGCCACAGAGATCGGGGCTGAGTGTGTGGGTCAAAGTTCCTAGGCTGCCTGTTTCAGGAGGTTGCATCACGTATTCTTTAACCCTTCCTTTGCAAGATAGCCCGAGGTATGGGAGTAAAATGGTCAGGCAAGTAGGTTTCAGGGTCAGTCTGACTCGGTTTCAGACCCTGGTTCCAGCGATAGTTATCAATGTGGCAGCAGGATCCCTCAGCCCCTTCTATCCCACACAGGTGCCCGCACAGCTGAATAGATGGTTTAGTGCTGCTTTGGTATCCGGAGAAGGCTGTTAACCTGAAGAGTTAGAGACACTCAGGCTGAGGTTGACCTATCTGGGTTCACACCCTGGCTCTGTCATTTGCAATCTGAGTGACTCTGGGTCAATGTCATAACTGTACGGAGCCCCAGCTTTCAAATACATGAAATGAGAATGAAAACGCCAAGCGGGTGAAACACACACAACGCTCGGTGCCTGGTGACTCCAGGAGACGCAGCGTTTGCTGTTAATAATTAGTGAATAATTTTTGAGAAAAGAAACATAAAATCAGATTTTTTGCCCATTTTTTTAACCTAAAGAAACAGTGCCTTTTTGGCCTCTACATGTTTGAAGAACCAAATAAGTGGCTCATAAGAGTAAAGGAATTAAACTGCTTTTTTTTTGTAACCATACAAAAAACCCCTCTTAAACTCAATGAATTTTTATTTTTATTTTTTTTGAGACAGAGTATCACTGTTGCCCAGGCTAGAGTACAGTGGCGTAATCATAGCTCACTGCAGCCTTGAATTCCTGGGCTCAAGCGATCCTCCTGCCTCAGCCTCCCGAAGTGCTGGGATGACAAGTGTGAGCCACTGCACCTGGTCCTCATTGAAACTTTTTAGCAGTGTTTTCCATACTCTATTTATTATAGGTGTATGATAATCTATGTAACAACCTATGCAAACTCATTCAGTGCACAGTATACAAGCTGTGTCTCGAACTAGTTAGTAGAACATCTTGTGAAGGCTTCGTGATATTTTAACGAACATACTTGTCACTAAACACAAATGGAGAGAACTGTTCATCTTCACAAGGATCAGCTCGGTGAGGGACTCACTCCTGGCTTTCTACTGGAGAAGTGGGCGTGCCTAGGAAATGCATCAAAACCAGAATCTCTAGCACAAAGCTCAGTCTCTTAAACAGAGATGCTGGTCAGCAGCCACAGCAAAACCCAAAATTATGTATGGCTTGGAAAGGATCACAATGACCAGAGCTGATCACTGGATAATGCAAGTAATTTCAAAGTCAATGTCGTCTTCAGAAAGACCACTTCAAGTCAGTGTAACCACTGGATAAACTACACAGGTAATAGCCAGCCAGGCATGTGTCCAGCACACAGGAACCTCCCAGGAGGGCTCGGCTGGGACACTGGACGGGGTGCCTGGCGGTTCCTGCCTGTGTGGCCTCGGGCAAGGAGACTTGCTGGTCTGGTCTGCGAGAATGTCATCTGTAAGTGAACGGGGGAGAATGAGACAGTAACTCAGAGCTTATACTTGGATCCCACCATAACACTTATAAAGGCTTACAGAGTGGATGGGAACTCATAGGCCATGCAAGAAAACTAGTGATGTAAGAAAATTTTTTTTTTTTTTTTTTGAGACAGATCTTGCTCTCTTGCTCCGGCTGGAGTGCAGTGGCACAATCTGGCTCACTGCAGCATCAAACTGCCAGGCTCAGATATCTGATTCTCCCATCTCGGCCTCCCGAGTAGCAGGGACTACAGGCACGTGCCAACACACCTGGATTACTTTTGAATTTCTTTTATAGAGACAGGGTTTCACCATGTTGCCCAGGCTGGCCTGGAACTCCTTCCCGGGCTGAAGCAATCCACCTTCATCAGCCTCCCAAAGTGTTGGGATTACAAGCGTGAGCCACCACGATTTGCCAGAAGTTTTTTTTTTTTTTTTTTAATTTAAAGAACACCAAATGAGTAGGTTGAAGCCAGGCTGCTCTGGGAATTCTGTGCCTCGTCTTGGGAGCAGTGGCTCAGCAAGGTGCAGGTGTGGTGGGAAGGAAGGCTGAGTTCCCCCAGCTGCCGCCTCCTTTCTGTCTCGCTTGTTGGCAGGAGAACCTACGGAGGAGCCCAGCCTCCAAGATAAGACGCACATGTGAGGAGCAGCGGACATCAGTGTGAGCCAAGCTACAAAGCTTTCCACTATAAAACCACGGTCCATGCCCAAAAAGGAAACCCACCATTGAAACCTAAGCTTCTTTTTGATTAAGTCCTGTGTGGTAAATATCAGTGACTTATTTCATCAGCCTGAAAATTCAGCTCATCACAAATGAAAAGTAAAAACTTTAATTCTATAAAAGGAGATAAAATTCAGCCTTTTTAAAGAAAGAGCTCTATCAACCCGAATAGGAATTGTTACTTGTAATTTAATCAAAATTCACTTATATTACCTGAGTGCTTTATTTTTGAATGGCAACTTAAAATACACCAGAGAGACTGAATTCCATGACCATCAGTGCCTACAGAATGCCAGATACTGTACCTAGTTCTTGCTTTTCTGTGGTGGGTGTGGGGAAGTTTGAGAAACCGGGTGCTGGATGTGATGGCAGCCACCGGGGAGCCTGGCAAGGCAGCTTCTCCTAGCAGTTTCATTAATGTTGTAGCATTAATGTAAAGATTAAGTTTGGCCGCATGTAACAGAAAATTCAACATAATACTGGCTTAGGTAAGACAGGTGTTTAATTTCTCTCCTGTCAGAAAAAGTCCAGAAGGAAGCAACCAGGCTACCATAAAGTGCAACGGCTCTATGAAGTCAGAGAAGAACGGGGCTTCTCCTACTTTAATACTAAAGTTTCCTGCATGTGTCTGTGTCTCAAGATTACTCCATAGCCAAAGGTGGCTGCCGGAGCCCGGGCCTTCTCGTTTGAGTTCCAGGCTGCAGGAAGGAGAAGGAAAGGACAAAAGATCCGCCCCTGCCAGTTGGAGTCTACGCAGCACTTCCCCTTGTCCCTCTGACCATAAGATCAGCACGTCCGTGCCACGCCGAGCTGTGAGGGTGGCTGAGAGCTAGTCTTGTTGCTGAGGGTGGTGCCCAGAATTGCATGGGGCGTGCTCATGAGGCAACAAGGTGGGAATGAGCATTCCCAGACCCTGCCTCTGCATGCACTTCAACAAGGGACTGCAGCCCTGGTGCCAGGCAGGGAGCCCTCCTTCTCACAGGCCCACTGGCTTCAGCTGGCCTCGTGTTTCTCCTGGCTGAGCTCCGTCTGCTCTCCGTTCCAACTTTCCTTCCTGTTCTGGAAGCTTGGTAGTGGGAACACTCCTTGTTCTGTCTTGAGTCCCCAGCCAATGACCAGGTTTGAGCCTCTTCTAAGTGTCAGTTGGTGAACAAGACAGAGCAGATTTGTGCCTGTGGTGAACAAATGGTCCAGCAGGGAAGAGAAGCGTTGACCTGTGGCCACAGTTCCCACCTGGGGGTGCATGGAGGGAAGCGTGTGTGCTGTTTGGAAGCATGTGTGCTGTTTGGACGTGCTTGGAATGGAACCTGCACAGGCCTAGGGCACGTTTCTCAGACTCTTCTCCTTGCAGAAAAACACGGTCGAATCCCACCCGCAAAAAAAAAAAAAAAAAAAAAAAAAAATCCCTTTTCTAATTTCTTAGCTAACACTCTTTTAGTCTCTCCTTCCATTATCCCAGTTTCTCACGAGAGGGGGCTTTATGATCCGTCACTCCCCAGGCCACACCTTGGCCCTGTTGCCTGGCTTCTGTCCCCGCAGCCTCCTGTAACTTGTGGAGCACAAACCCTCCACAGCCTGGAGCCTTTCTTCACGCTTGGTCTTTTATTTTCTTTCCTTTGTGTAGCTCTCCACATTGTCACTCAGACCCTGGTTCTGAAAACTCTGTTCCCTAGGTTTCTCTGATGTGAGACTCTTCCAGGTTTCTCCTCCCAGCTCTGACTTTCTAAGTCACCCTCAGGCTCATCTTCTGTCTCCATCCCTCTCTCAAATGGACATGCTCGAAAACAGAGGGCTGTTCCTGGCTCACTTTCCTTCATTACCAGAAGATCTTTGGTAATTGTACTCAGTTTAACATTTCCAGTTACTGGTTTCATGTGGACACTCCCAAATATCTCTGTCTGTCTCTATCTCCCTGGGCCGTATGTGTAACTAACTGCTAAGCTGTGTGTGCCTTGGGGCGTCTGTTATGTTGTTATTTCTGTGCACTGTTTTAAGCATTTTATTTTCCTCTTAGTTTCCACTGCCACTGTCCTAGTTCTGCCTCTTGCTCTTTGTCCCGGATACAGCAACAGTCTCCAGGCTGGCTCACCTGAATCCACCTCAACTCCCTAAACTCCTTATGGAGGGCTGTCACTCCCCTCCAAACAGAAGCCCATGTGTGATGATGTCACTTGCCTATTTGTCAGTATTCAACGACAGCTGACTGTCCCAGATTCCTGGGCTTGTCATTTAACACCCTCCATTATTTCTTGACTTTCCCTCTCTCCAGCCTTTTCCATGCAACTTCGGCTGCAAATTTGTTGTTTATGTTCAAAGACGTTACTCACGCTATTTCCTTAGCCTAGAATATATTTCTTCCACCTGCCCAGTGTCTGAAGTCCAAGTGAAATGTCTTAGGAAACCTTCTCTCATCTCTAGAGCCAGGCTCCAAGAGCATTTCATCTGAATCACTCTCACGGTCTACCACATACGTTAACTTTGCAAACTTGACTGCAGTCTCTTTAAGGACAGGAATTTTGTCTGAGTTTCTCCCCTTTTTTGCCTTCGTCTTTCCCTCCCCCCTTTCTTTCTTTTCCAGCTTTTAGCACAATGCTTTTTAGCCTGGTAGGTTTCAATAAATATTTGAGTAAACAAATGATAATCAAAAGCAAAAGAGTCAAGGGCATAACGGGGCTAGTTTACTGCCTGTGTGGTGAGCATTTTCCTTCTGTCTGGTTGTTTCTTCCTTTGTTCTCCATTAATAGGGAAAAGTGTCACTTATGAAAGAATAGGAATGTTTTACACTTTGTGACTTATATCAAGATTGCACAATTTTTATTGTTGAAGCAACTGTGAGCAGGAAAAGAGAACCAGTGAAGTGTTAGTATCTTTGTTCTGATCACCTTCTGTGTCCAAGAACAGTCATGACTGCCTAAAGAAATAAAGAGGCCGTTCAAAGGAAAAGGTGAGATTCTCTATGCAGACTATAGAAGAAACCCCCACAAGTTGGGGGGTGGGGGGCAGGTAAGACGGAGAAACTGACATCTTACAATTGCTCTTAACGGGTCTACTTGTGTTTTGTTGTTTCTTTGTGTAAGGTTACTTTGACTAGAAGCCCAAATCTCTGAACTAGATAAATAAACAGAATAGACTCATTACCTGGGCTATGCACCAGAGAACTGAAACACAAACTGTGCTTTAGATTGGGAATGATTCGAGTATCTGAGATTGGAAATACAAAATTGAAAAGGCCCATTTATCTTTTGATCCACTATGACCCAGAGGCAAAAGCTTGGGTTATGAGTTAAAAATGCTGGGATTCCTCAGTGGAAATTGAGCCTGAGAAGCAGAGCTCCTCCTCCTCCTCCTCCTCCTCCTCCTCCTCCTCCTTTGACAGGTGCTGCTCAGATCTCCCTGGACTCACACTCCTTGATGTTTCACAGTATCACAGGCCAGGCCTCAGGAAACCCTGGTTCCACCTGCAGCTCACCTGCTCCCGACATTCCGTCCCTCCCCACTCCCCCTTATGCACCCCAGCAGCTGCTCACCACTTCCCAGCACCTAGAGCTTTTACACAACCCCGGGGATACCAGAAAGCCTCAGTGGCATCCCACCAGAAAGAACTGTTACCACAATCCCTCAGGAGCAGTAGAGTCACAGGTGGCTGGGGGGGAGTGATGTCCTTTAACCACTCCCCCCAGCCTTCACAGGTCCCACTCCCCCGCAAGCCAACCCCAAATGAATGCATCATTTGAGTAAACACTCTATGCTCCCTCTGCAAACAAACAAAGCTTCAACAGAAGTCTCTTCAGGTCCCTCCCAAACAGATGGCTCCACCCCTAAGATATTTGGGAGCTGACATTGTTCCCCAAGCTTTAAAGTTAGCTGTTCTTCCCTCCCCAGCTCAAACCTAATTATCTTAGGAGGGCAGATCGGAACGCAGTAGAAAATACTAGTCCAGTTCCCCCTTTTCCTAGTGGTCAAACAGATATCAGCAACCATTTCTGAGAGGTATAGAGTTCTGGGTTAGGAAACAGGATGAGAGGCTAAAATAATTTCACCTATTGGAGATTAAGAAAGTTTGTAATCATACAAAGTAGATGACGCAGTAACATGGCCCTGTACAAAAAGTCCACCTGGTTGATATTTCGACTCTGCTACAACAAGCTGTACTGTGGACAAACATTTTGTCTTTCTGAGCCTTAGTTTCTTCATGTATCAAAGGTGGAAATAAAACCCCTCTATTTATTTACGTGTGCTGTGAGGACTCAATGAGACAGTGGAGGCAAAGCACCTACTGTCCTTGGTGTCTCAGGTGGTAGCAGTGGCATTAGTGATGGTAACAGTAACAATAATGATGATGATGATGGAGACGGTGCCCAGCTGTTTTCACCTTGAATGAGAATTGAATAAGAAGAAATTGACAAACTCTTCTGAGAGGTTTAAGTTGAATATATGAAAAAGTTTCCCAACAATGATGATTGACAAACTCTGTACGAGTCTGGGATTCTCCTGCGATGGTCCTTAAAATAGAGACCCTTACTTACTAGTTAGCAATGGCTTTGGTATGGTTTAGCTTGAAGGCAATGAGATAGACTGGTTCATTTTTGAAGGCACTTTCTTGCACTATGATTCTATACAGTCTCTCTATGGTAAAAACAAAGTGATATTCAAAAGAATAAGGAGTCTGTGACTCTATGACCAGGCACTGGGAACCTGAAGTTTTGGGTCATATTCAGAAGTTCCCACTTCTCTCTTCTATGCCCAGACTGAAAAGCAAACTGATCCTCGAAAGCAAGCTTGTCCAACCCACAGCCCATGGGCTGCATACAGCCCAGGATGGCTTTGAATGTGGCCCAAAACAAATTCATAAACTTTCTTAAAACATTATGAGATTTTTTTTGCAATTTGTTTTAGCTCATCAGCTATCATTAATGTATTTTATGTGTGGCCCAAGACAATTCTTCTTCTAATGTGGCCCAGGGAAGCCAAAAGATTGGGTATTCCTGCTCTAAAGTAATCATGAAAGGATATTCTACATAAAAAATCACTTCCAGCTGAGTAGAATTATTTGAAAAAAGTGCGGTGCGTGGCTACACATTTCTGAGGCATGCATTTTCTTGCACAGAGTAGTCAAAGGACGACTTGATTACTTCAGATTTTGTGCCTTGAGTCATAACTGTGCAGCTGATACGTGCTCCAGGGAACAATGACGTCCTTTAGTATTTACCTCTCCTTAACATCTGAAGCCCAGAGCACAGAGCGATGCCTTTGGCTATGGAGAGGACAAGGCACCAACACTCTAACCCCAAGGTTTTAACTAGGAACTTATGAAGGGCCTGTCAAATAGAGGTGAAAGCTCCTGAGCTGGGAACTTGCAGACACCCATTGAGGTGCCCTCTAGTTTTCAGGGTGGAGAGGGCGACCTTGAAAATATTTCCTATGGAAAAGGAAGCAGCAACTTCAGCCACACCCACGTTCTGGAGGTCCTGAGGCAAAAACCATATGCCACTTGCGGGGGAGAGCGGAGAGCGTGATTCTCTCATCAGTGAGGACGAGCCCACCTTACTGCAGGGCTCAAAAGCCTCAAGCCATGGTCTAGAGGAGAAACCACCTATGCCTCTAAGGGGGACATTCATGCTTCGTTTTCTAAAATGGGTTGCAGTATCTTTATAACCCTGGCTGCAAATCCTCTACGGTTTTGGCCTGGATGGGATGAGATCAGGTGTGGAAGGTCTCTACCCCAAGGAGCCACTGTTTTTGGAAATGCCAAAACCTCCCTGTTATTTTCTAATTTGTTTTTAATTGGTTCATAAGTGGAATAGAGGTTTATATTGTAAAGAAATTTAGAGATAATCTAGACCAATCCATTATTTTTATTTTCAAAATAACTTAGTTTTTTGATGATGCAGTTTATTATGGAAGAGATGGCAAACAGAGAGGGATAAAGAAAAATGATCCTGTGTAATCTCCCTCCTCAGAAATAGCCATCATTGCCACTCAGGTGTATTTCCTAACGTGTGTGTATTCACACAAGCACATATTTTTACACAACTAAGACTGTATTATATGGTTTTATACCTTGTTTTTTAACTTAATTTTATACCATGATGATTTTATCATGTTCTTAGATACTCTCCACTCATTTAAATGGTGATATAATATTCCATTATGAGAACAAAACATGATTTAGCCATTTTCATATTGGTAGACATTTAACTTATTTTCATTTTTCACTATTATTAAAAACAGATTGAAAATATCTAGGCATTCAAGCCTCTTTCTATCTTTGATATTTCCTTAGGCTTAACTCCTAGAATTCAAATGATTAGGTCAAGTTTTTTAATATTTTAAAACCTAATTGGCACACCAGTCTCTGTTTTAGAGATTCGTAATTGAGGCCAATGACATTTAGAACTTTCTGGAGACCGCACAGTTCTTAGTGTCACACAGTGTCCTGAGCCCAGCTCCCTGGCCCCCAGATGTGAGTTCTCGCATGTGTTTCAGGATCCACCAGAAGTCAAGAGAGCAAGAAATTGTGTTAATCAATGAACGCTGCATTCTTCTTCCCAGAAAAGAAAAATCCACAAAAGTGTTTACTCCTCCTCAGGTTGTATGTATGTGTGCGTGCATGCATGCGTGTGTGTGTGCATGTGTACACTAAAACAAATTATTCCACGGCCTGAATCAAAGAGGCTTTCTCTGGGGCAACTTTCTGTTTCTCCTAATGCTTAAGCAAAATATACTTTCTGGCAATTAAAATAATTAAAGTAACAAAAATCCCATCATCTTTGTTGTATTTTTGGTAGCTTTCTTTAGAGAATCAGGTGTGAAGTTAAGGTCTGCTCATTTAGGTTGAGGGGGTGGAAATGTCTGAGCTGATCAAGGTAGAGGAACTGGAAATTTCCAATGCTGGCTACAAGTCTGAGACATTAAAAAGCAATTTGCAGGTTTTAAGTATATACCAAGAGGCACTTGGCCTTGTTTTAAAATAATAACTGCAGCTTAATAAAATGTAGAAGCTTAGAGCTTCCTGGGATTACAGTGAAAGATATTTCTATGTTTGGAAGCCTGTTCTGTAATTTGCACACTTACGGGGCCAGACCCCAGGTAGACAGGGCCCTAGCTGGGGGCAGGTCCATTAACTTTTGTGCCAGGTTGATGGACTTCTTGTTTATTTTGGTATAAAAATAAATCCATGGTAGAGTCTGTGATGGAAAATGTCCCCTCCCCACCCAGCTGCTCTCACAGGGGAAAGCTGACTTTTCCACACTCTCAGAAGGGGTCCCCACAGGCAGTGCTACCGACTTGGGCCAGCTGCAGTCCAGGGTCCCGACCCATGGGCTCATGCTCCACCAGGGAGGAGACAGTTGTTTTTCAGTCTGTCTGTGTTTCTTCTCCTCTTTTCAGTCCTCTGTATACATCTACTACCTTATCACTGCCCAGCTGGCCACAGCTGATGGAAGGGCTTAGTTACTCTCATGAGAAACTGGGGGGAAAAGTTATTTTATCTCTAGATTAATTTTGAACTTTTTGCACTTGAGAAGAGCTATAATCGTGCTAGGATTGGTACATCATTGGGAGTAGATAGGAGCCTATGCTTTAGATCAGATAGTTGTGTGGTCATGGGCAAATTGCTTAACCGCTCTGAGCTTCAGCTTCCTCATCTGTAAAATGGGCAGAACAGTCATACCTGCCTCACGGAGGGGCAAAGATATACAATAAGTGAGCAAAAGCAGATAAACGGCTTAGTGGACACACAGCCTGGTGCCCAGTCAGCACTCAGTCAATGCCAGCTCTTCTTGGCTATTGCAATGTGGGGATGCTCTCTTGGGACTTCCCCCTTTGATCTGTGATTTTTTTTTTCTTTTCTTTTCTCATCTTGACTACTAGGTGGCAAGCTTCTTTATCTTTCTTCAAAATTCTCTGCAGCTAACATTACATTATAATGATCATTTAGTCACTAATACTACTTGTCATTGAATGGATTCATAATATAGCCAGCATGTTCTACTTTGCTTTTAAAAATTATGGTCGAACCTGCATTTTAAATCTTTTGAGACATCAAAACAAAATTAAAGTTTACTATGAGTTGATGCAAAAGTCTACATGCTCACATTTTGCAGAAAAGCAAGTCTAACTGTTTGAGAGTTTTGCTATAACCTAGCACTAGGCGATATCCTTTTACTTCACTATAGTTCATTTGATGAGCTGACATTAGGAGCTACAAATGAAGTAACACGGACTCGTACTGGTAAGAAGAGACTACAGATGAAAAGGAGTGGGAGAATGAAGGAGGGAATAAAAAGAAAGGTCTAAGCGATAAAAGAAGTAGGAACTGGAGCAACCCTGTAGAAGATCAGTGAATCGGCTGAGAGTTGGTTTTGGAAAAGTGAAAATAACCCAGATGCATAGACTGCGTGGAATCGACAGCAAATAGAGACTGCCCGGCAGTGCAAGGTGGGGGAAGCTGGACCACTTGAGGGCTGTTTCTATCAGATGCCAGGCTACTTTCCAAGCTACCATAAGATTTAGAATAAAAGCAGGGCGAACCCTGTGGCAGCGGCTTGTGTGGCACAACAGAGTAGGGTGAGTCCTTGAGAGAGTAGGGGCGGTCCTGACCCCAGCGGGAGCAGGGGATTCTGGGTAGTTTTCAAAATGGAGGCTCGCCCTCTAGTGGTGCCTGGAGAGAATTGCGGGCACATGACCCTCAATCTGATGTTCAGCAGGGGTGAGTCCCTATAGTTTAATGCTCCGAGCTGACGGTGGGCCAGGCAACCAGAGATGCAGAAAGCTGATTCCTGCCCTCAGGGATTTTACAGGGTGAGAACAACACGGAACAGGCCATTTCAACTCATACTCAGGTCCCATCTCTCTTGGGGGACCTCTTGTTCCCCGCTCTAAGCCACAGCCTCCTCTTCCTCCAGCAGTCTCACCCCTCAACAGTTCCCTTCCCCGCAGGGCAACTGCCTTTTTCTGGTTACGGGCTGAACTGTCACCTTTCAGCCTCTAAAATTCCTATGTTGAAGCCCTGACTTCCAGCTCCTCCGAAAAATGTGACTGTATTTGGAGAAGTGTCTTTGAGGTAATTGGGGTGAAATGAAGTCACATGGGTGGGCTCTAATCCTTATAAAAAGAGATAAGGACACAGACAACAACACACAGACGGAGGGACGACCCTGTGAGGACACAGCGAGAAAGTGGCCGTCCACAAGCCAAGGAGAGAGGCCCCATGAGAAACCGATCTTGCTGACACCCTGACCCTGGACTGCCGGCCTCCAGCACTGTGAGAAAGGACACGAGTGTTGTGGAAGCCACCCAGTTTGTGGCTGGCTGGGCAACCAGAGCAGAAGAAGGCGCTCCCCAAGTCTGTATGGCCCCTCCCCGCCCAGCCTGCCCAGCGGCCTCTCTCTCCTGAGCCGTCTGGCCAGCTCCTCCTAGCACATTCTAGACATGGCCTTTGCCACACTCCTCCTGCTAATTCCTAATCTGGGATAACCAAACCAGTGGTCACATGAGAATTCCTGCTCTACAGCCTGGCTGCCGTAGGAGCACAGCACGCAGCCGTGTGAAGTGGGGCCAGTTCCACACCCGCAACAACAATTCCCCCATCCCTGGTCAGTACCACACGTCCAGCTCCATGGCTATTCCCAACCCGCACCTCTCGTCCTGAACCACCAGTGGTATCTTTGTTCTTTCGCCCCACAGTTGACCCGAATCTTGACTTCCTTTGGAAAATCAGACATGGATTTCCTCACTCACACTGACAGATGCAGCTCTGCCTGCTCCCACCGACGCCTCATTTTCTCCAGGCTGAGGAAAGGTGCTCTCTTTCCTTCTCAGATGAGATCCCTGAACATCAAATGTGACTCCATGAACCGTAGTTTACTTTATCATAATACACGCTTCAGTGAGACTCATCCTGATCATCATGGTTTTTATCAATTAGAAAAAGGACAACTGGGATTAGCCTTTCATTCAAATCAACACTGCTTCTCATCTTGAGCTTTTCATGATATTTGCTCAAAAGAAGACTTAGAAGAGCACCTAGAGGAAAACTAAGAACTAATAACACAATTAGGACCATGTGGACCCCACTTTCCTTCTGGGTTTTAAAAGAAAGAGGAAATAACTGCATGTGTTATTAAATTGATTAGCTTCACTTCTGGTCGCTTTTATTCAAATATGGATATCTTTTGCAGGTGGTAAAATCAGTGTATTAACTTTCAAACTTTCAGACTGAAAGTTGATCCATATTTTGCATTAGAATATTATGGCCACAAGCTCCAGTACTCCATATAAATGAGGAAAGAAAAACATGGTGATAAATATTTAACACTTCAAAAATTCCCATTTAAAATATTCAGTGTAGATGATTGGAGAATATGGTTCACAGGAATAAAAGAACTTTAAATTTGTTCTTTTGGTAAAGGTGGTCTTTCGTTTGATTATATTGAAAACCCACACTCAGTCTCAGACATAGATATAATAATGAATTACATACAGTTGGGCCAAAGGAAAGTAACATTTTCAACTAATTATGGTGAAAGTCATTTTCAGAGTTCTTGTTGTTGTTTTATTAGAATAGGAGTTAAAGCAGATTTCATGCAATGCTTTAACAATTTTTTCTTTTTCTTTTTTGAGACGGAGTCTCGCTCTGTTGTTCAGTCTGGAGTGAGGTGGTGTGATCTTGGTTCACTGCAAACTCCACCCCCACCCCCAACCCGCAACCCCGGCCCCAGGGACAGGCAATGCTCCTGCCTCAGCCTCCTGAGTAGCTGGGATTATGGGTGCCTGCCACCATGCCCAGCTAATCTTTGTATTTTTGGTAGAGACAGGGTGTCACCATGTTGGCCAGGCTGGTCTTGGACCTCAGGTGATCCACCTGCCTCAGCCTCCCAAAGTGCTAGGATTACAGGCATGAGCCACCACACCCGGCCAAATGCTTTAATAAATGTTTATTGGAGTGCCCATTCTGTTTTCCTACAGGATACTTTAGGCATCTATGATGTGGACTTTGACCTGTAATCACATCAAGGGATATGCCATGGACAGAAAATATTTAAGGTCAAGTTCAAAGACAGTGTACAAAATAATATGAAAATACATACAATCAATTGATAAAACAAACACCGCAGCAAAAAATACTATGTTCAATTGGAAACCTATGGGAACTATCGGAAAGAGTAGCTGCCACAATCTGAATGATAGTTATATGATTAGTGACAGCAGTTCACTTTTGTGTGCTGTCTAATAGTTTACAAATCACATTCACAGGCAGTTATTGTCAAAAATGGCTTCAAGGAGATAGCAGGGTTGGTTTGAAAGGAAGTGGGACTTCAAAAACCTTACAGAGCTTTAAATTTTTTCAGAGTTTTGAGCAGAATCAAGACAATTTATTAAGTGAATCTAGCCCTTGATTCTATGACAAACTAAAATTTCTATTTTTTTCATTTTAGAAAAATAATAGCTTTCCTGTTTAATCATGATCAAAATGATACAATTTTATGTTATTACTTTTTACCAAGTCACATCTCCTTCATTTAGCTAGATTTGAAAATTTTGATATGAATATTATTGACTTGGGAAGATTTACAACTAGAAGGAGCTCAACATAGTTATAAAGTATTTTCATTTCTAAACTATGTTACATTTTATTATTCACATGAGTCTCAAAACAATGCCATGATATATCAACTTGGCAAAGAACCCTGAAGGATATAGCATAGATCAGGGTTACTTAATGAATCAGTGATTAAGCTGCGACCCTCTGATGCTTTCTGGAGGCGATCAAACTGCCCTCCGAAAAATTTACAGAATTTTTACATCTCATTAACAAACTACAAAGAGGGCTTATCGCATATAGGAAATAAAAATTCTATAAGTATTCATAAAATTTAATCATAATAATGGCAAACTATAAGCTTAAGGTTTCTTCTGTCTGGTAGGTAGAAATCATAATGGATATAACTTTGTGTTTTACCAGCAAACTGGAACAACAGCTTTTTTGATTGTGCAGACATTTTAGCCCTCCTTTTGCAATAGAGATTAACAGACCCAATAGCATCATCATCCAAGTTGTCACAGTGAGACATATTCTGCTAATGAGAAGCTATAATTTCAACTGTTGGAAAAGATGATCTGAACTTTATTTGGATAGAAAAGCATGCAGATTTTTAACACAAATATAATCTATGATTCTTTCTTTGGATTTCTTGGAATTCAGTAAAGGACATTACGGTGGACTAGGTTTGCAACAAAATAACAAATAAAAAGTATTTTGTCAGATATGGAATTTTGTCCAATTTTATACTCATTCAGCCAGACACTATATAGTAATAAGTAGACTATGCTTAATTCAAAATGGAATATTTTACAGTGACATACTTGGTAAACATATCCCCTACCAGCACAGATGGCATAAAAATGCTTAGTGATTCTTTTTTCAGACTTCATGTCATGCTTTGGGAAGATATGGCTGAAATAAATACATTTTATTTTGCTTTGTGACATTTTTCCATATGATTTAATTATACAGAAGGGCACATGACAGAGCTTCACTATTAAGTGGGATCCATTAGACGCTTAAGAGCAAATTCAAATCTTTTGTTGAGCACGTTTTTAGAAAATAAATTGTGCACGCCATGTAAATAATATGACATTTGGTTGCAGTCAATTTGGTTTATGTATTTTGCCCAAAGGAACAGGTGATTCAAAGTTTAATCTGCCCCTCGTCTACTTATTCTTAATAACTTGGCACAGTAAGCAGTTCTTGGGGTATCAATATACCAATTAACAAAATAATTCTTTCACTGCTGTTGAAATAAAGGGCCGATTCTAATCTACATTTTTTTGTTGTTGTTGTTGAGCAGGGCAAATGGAACAAACAAAACAGTCAAAGAGGAGAGCAGGGAGAGAAGACAGATTCAGTGTTGCCCTCGGCAGATGCAGAGGAAACGAGCACAAAACCCTTTCACATGTGCCGGGCGCAAGCGACGCTGCCCAGAAACCCCGCGCCAAGCCCTGCAGCCGAGGAATTGGAGCTTCTGTGTTACTCCAAACAATGCATCTGTCTTTCATTACACTCGGATTTAGATGAAATCGGGGCGCTTGTGGGCAAACCAGTGAAGATTTCAAATAAGAGAAATTGTATTATATTAGAATCATAACGTTTTAAAAATAATTCTGTATTGAAGGAAGTTTTTAAAGAATGGCTAATGGTGCCTTAGATGCAATGAAGCCCTTTCATTCGTTCTCTCCCCCTGTCGCCCCATTCTCATCTTCACTGTCCTAAATGAGGCCTCCCTGGTCCCCTCGCCTGGGCCGTCACAGAGGCCTCTGAGTGATGTTTCTCCTCCCAGCTTTCCCCTTTCTGCCAGGCTCCCTCCCTCCAGTTAGCTTCCCGAAGCCTGGACAGGGTGAACCGACTTGAAGGCTTGAATTTGAGCCCCCTCCTTGCTCACCCCACGCTGGGCCAGCGCCTCTCCCCTGGGTTACCCTAGTGCGCTGTGCTTACCCGGATCTCAACACTTATCACAAGGATGGAGGTTTGTGGCCATTTCCCCTTTTTCCCCCTGAGACAGGGGTCTCCACAGGGGTGGGGCTTTGACCCCTTTATGGGTGTATTCTTGGTACTGGTTCCTCCAGGCAACCAATAAATATCCACTGGCTGATGGGATGAGTGATGTCACTCCCCATCCGCGGTTCCTCACTGAGATTTGGTGCGTTCTTTGGGTTGTAGTCAGACCTCTCTCCCCCAGGGCCCTTTCCGTTCTGCCGTCCTCAGCGCCCCCTACCAGCCCCTGCCCCACGCTGGCTCCACCAAACCATTTACCGTTTCCTGCGCAGGCAGCGCGGCCTCCCTGTTTGGTGCCTCTGCTATGCTGTTCCTGGCCCTAGACAGCACTTAACGTGCATCTCCAGAAACTGTCACTCCTCTGGAGGGCTTTTCTTCATCAGACCTTTCTAAAGCTTTTGTCTGCATTCTGTATGTGAGACCATGTAGCACTTGCCACATGCGTGTCCTTGGTAGAGTGTTGGCACTTGGGGATAGGGACCTGGTGTTAGTATTTTTTTTTAAACCCCCATAGACCCTAACATACGTGTAAGGCACCTAGGAGAGGCTCAACACATGCTTTTGGCTTTTTAACCTCTGTTAAAAAAAAGTCACCATTGCAAACCCTTGTCCAGCATCTTTGGTTCATGTACATACATACATACCCTGAGCATGCATGACTTTACCAAATCACCACAGGAGCTCTGCCAGGAAATAAAGTCAGAATCCTGAACCTCAGAATGGTTCAGGTACTTGCCTAAGGCCACTCAGCTAACGCTACTAACTGGGATTTAAATCTAGGTTTCTGTCTCTAAACCATGTGGCCTATCTAGTTCACAATGTTTGGAATTCAAGTGTGATGGGGGCCCAGCTTGAACTAAGGCCCCAAAAACGGGCCAGTGGCTGAGAGGTGGAATGAATTTGAGAACTGTATTATCTGTTAATCTGATAGTTTTGCAATCCAGCCCGCATCGTTCCTGGAGGAGTGAAAGGTTCAAAGAGATCTTAAGGTAGCTCTACTCTCTCTCCTATGCAGCTTCTTAACTCAAGCGAGGGAAGAGCCCGAGGTCCCTTAATAACCATCCCCAGCGCCCACTGAGTGTGGACTGACATAGAGGCTGGATGGGAATTGAGGCAGAGTCTTGTCCAGACCTGGGAGAAAATTCACACTTTGGCAGTGTGAACTGGGGACTTAGTTTAGAGGCCAACGTAGAGGATATTCTCTTGTTAGATGGAGCAGAAGAGGAAGAGATTGGCAGCCACCAAATGGAAGCTGAAAAGGCTGTGCCATGAACACATGTGACTGAGATATCGAAAGGAATTTGAGGGAGATTATGGCTATTGCAGAGCAAGTGAAAACAGAAACAAATACTATTTTGTTACTCATTGTGACCTAATTTTTTCCTCCCAATTACCCTTCCTGATATGGCCTCAGTGTTTTCAAAAACAAATATTTTACATCTTATTTTTTTTAAGCCAAACATTTTTTTTTAAATGTGGAACTTTGTAGAACTTCATGATTAGGCATGAGAACAGAAAAATAATATAAATAAAAATCTGAAATCATGTCTATTTTAATCAATTTCTGCTTATCTGAGAAAGGCTGTTCTTTGATTCATGACAGCTTAAAAACAAATCGCAATATCTATTTATCTGTAAAATATATTATTTATAGATTTAAAATAATAATTCAGGCCTACAAATTCTTTTTCCCTTTGAAAATGTATCTTCACAATTATTTATCAACCTTTGTATTTTACAATAAAAGTTATTATACCAAAAGAAATTCAGACTGAAGGTCTAAATCTATTTGGGTATAAATTGCCTTAATAATCTCAATATTTAATATGCTACTGAACACTTTTTGAATGACTCATAAACCATTTCTAAATTAATAAAATACAATAACACAGATACAAGAATAACATGATACAAAAATATGGACAATATTATTTTTTATACTAATAAAATCCTCGGCATTTAAATCTAGCTCAAAAGTGGAGCTGAAGGCCGGGTACGGTGGCTCACGCCTGTAATCCCAGCACTTTGTGAGGCCGAGGCAGGCGCGTCACCTGAGGTCCGGAGTTTGAGACCAGCCTGGCCAACATGGCAAAACCCTGCCTCTACTAAAAATGCAAAAATTAGTCGGGCGTGGTGGCAGTTGCCTGTAATCCCAGCTACTGGAGAGGCTGAGGCAGGAGAATCGCTTGAACCCTAAAGGCAGAGGCTGCAGTGAGCCGAGATCATGCCACTGCACTCCAGCCTGAGTGACAGAGTGAGACTCTGTCTCGAAAAGAAAACAACAACAACAACAAAAAACAACAAAAAAAACCATGTGGAGCTGATAAAGCAGCTGAATTAGCAAGTAGGTGTGGCAATAGTTGAAAACCCCTAGGTGGGAGCTGCCAGCCACATCCCCGGTGGTGTACACAGGCTGGATCCACTTAATTGGAAAGAAAAAGGTGGGTCAGGTCCTGATTTCCTGCAGTCCCTCCCAGCTGGAGCCATGCCCTGCAGCGAAGTTGCACACATTTCCTAACGAAACTTGGTTAGGACACGATTCCATTAGCAGCCAGGCTGATCGATTTGGAGTTTGCCTTGCTGTGTGGTCTCTGGTGAGTCCTACAGCAGCTCCACCTCCCTGGCTCTGTGCTGCCCTTGACAACCCTTGACAACCCTACTGTGCTACCGAAAACCAGAAGGACTGGCTCTGTCTTCATCACCAGTTTCATAGTCAGAGTTAGAGACCACCATGCCCTGCTTTGCTGGGGCCTTTACGGCTGGCCAGCTCTTGCCAGCTCTGGGGGCTGGACCCAGTGGGCCTCACCCTGGCTGCAGCCCTACCACAGTTGTTCTCAGCCTTGGCTGCATGTACCACCTGGGAAGCTTGCAAAATTGCCCAGCTAAGCTCCAGATGTGACACTTGAATCCTTGCAGGTCTAGAAAGGTGGAGAAAATCACCCTCTGACCGTGTGAACTGGGGTCTTTCTTGGGCAAGCATTTACCACTCTGGTAGTCTGCACTTGCCAATCCAGAGGCTGTTCTCTTGTGGCATCAGATGGAGCAGGAGAGGAAGAAATTGGCAGAAACGAAATGAAAGCTGAAAAGCCTGTGTCAAGCACATGTGACTCAGATTATTTGGAGGCATTTGAGGGGGATTGGGGTTATTGCACAACAAGTGGGATTAGAAATTGGCATCAGAACTTTTAAAACGTCCCGCGTGATTTCAACGTGCAGCCAGGATTGAGAACCAAGGTCCCACCAGAGCTTTACTAGCCACGTTGATAATTAATGAGCATTGATTTCCAAGATCACCTGCAGCTGCCTCTCCCTGACCACACTTCACCTAGCAGGACCGTCCTTTTTGTAGGTCAGCACCTGCCGAGACCTGGCTGTCCTGGCTCTCCAGGCTGGGAGTGGGCCCTGGCAGCTGGCGGGTTACTTTCAGTTTTTCCTCCAGCAGAGTCCAGGATGTGGAGGCTCCAGCAAGCCCCATACCCAAGGCTGTGGGACAGGTGTTTTCTCCCCATGCAGTTCTGTGTGTCTTCTAATGAGCTGTATTTGACTCCTCAGTATCTGTTCTCTGGCAGGTATGTATCAGTCTGTTCCACTCAAAAGATCTAGACTTACTTAAAATTTCATGCAAATACATTTGAGAAGATACTTTTATGGCTACAACAAACACATGCCTACAATTTCAATCCCTTTCTAAATACTCGACAAGCAGCCCCTGGATTTTGAGAGGTCCACTCAGCTTTTAGTAATGCTATTGGGTGCTGGGTAGTGCAACGGAGCCACGGAATGAACTCACTTGAACCCCGATGTCAGAGGACACCCAAACGTAAAACACCAAATTAAGAAAATGAGGACCTTGACAACCTTTTCAACTTCTGGAGGATTGGAGGGGGTCAGGGTTGATCTCTTTCGAAATGAAACATGCACATTCTATTCTTAAGACTGTATTTTTCAGATATATACACACAAGTGCACAAAATATACGCACGTGTACAAAATATAAGTTATGATATGGTTCTCAATAGCAAGATCCTCAAAATAACCTAATGTCCATCAAGAAGGAACTGGTTACATATATGTGCAGGCCAGTACAAAGGAATGCATCCAGTCTTTGAACAAATGAATACATCAAAATGCCCTAATATGGCATGTTCTGCGAGGCATCACATTACACAGTAAACCAAACCCAAACCAAACAACAGTTCACCCACTTGAAGATTTGAAAATGAATAATCCTAAATAAGGTTTTTATCAAGAATGCAAATATGGCAGGCACATCTCGGTGGGGATAAAAACCTTAGGCTTCCTGATGAAGATTCAACCTCTGGAGTAATGACAAAGTGGAGACAGTAGGTAAGACTGAAATCCTGGAGGACCTTGAACTCCAAGCTATGGGATTGTATTGAAATGCAAAAGGTAACAGAGAGCCAAGTATACGTGATGTTGATTACATGACCCGGAAGATGGATGTCAAGAGCAGCACATTTTCTAATGCAACAGATGAGAGCATGGACTTCTAACACACAGGTTAAATCCTGGCTTTGCCGCTTCCTAACTGTCACCTTGGGCGTGCAGTAGCTCTGGGCTCCAGGTGCCTCATATTCACATAAAGTGCTTGTGAGCAAATAAAATGATATTTACAAGAAGCCTAGCAGAATGCCCAAGAGAGTAAATGCTTAATATGGTAGCTGAGGGGGAAAGGAAAAACCAGAGACCATGGTGGGAATTCCTCCAAGAAGAGAGGGTTTTGTTCCCTTAAGCATATTCAAGGGGGGAAATTAAGCTGACTACATATTATTCTTCTCAGCAAGTTTCAGGTTCAGTAATTCTGAATTGGGGTTGGAAAATTGGAAGGAAAACTGAGTTATGGGGGCAAAATAGCTGTTTAACTTAATTACTAAAATGCCTTACTTTCCTATCATGATGTCCATATTGTCCACGCAGCAATTCAAGCTTCTTTTAAGGTTGTTTTGTTAAAATTTGGTATAAAAGGTATGCCATTTATTAATTCATCAATATATTTTCATGAGTTCAGTACATGAAAAGAAAGAAAGTAATTGTTCACCTAGAGGTCAAAACCTCCATTATCTTAAGTCTTGGTGACTTGCAAAATCCTGCATGGAAATGAACACAAATATACTTGAGTTAACTCTGTGGTAAACTAAATATCCTGGATATTAAGCACACTTGACAAGACAGCTTGAGGTCCAGAAAGGATGCTGGGTGGCGAACATGATTATTGAGTCTTTGGTGACAGCTTCCAGGGGATGGATTTTATTACTCAGAGATATATTTCCACTGTAGTTCCCTGGTTACTAAAATGGCTGTAGAATCTTTATTAAGTTTCTTGGAAGCATTAACTGTCAAAATTAAGAAACCTCATCAAACTTGTGTCCAAAAAATATAAGAGATGACAATGAATCCATGTCTTGGACTTGACAGAGGACAGACCCATGCAGAGTAATGTCTTTGATATGGTTCTCTCTACCTCATAGTGATTCCCAACACACAGCGAAAATAATCAAAATGAAAAATAATTAAAAGTACAGAGAAGTGCTAACCAACACCTGATGGGGAAAGCCAGCCTCTGTCGGAGCAGGGCTGGCAAGGAGAGAGTGGGGCTGAGCGTGGGTTGTCCATCCTGGAAGGAGGCAGGAGAGGAAGTCACGGGGGTGGAGGCGGAATGAGGATCGGGGCCACCGAAGGGGAGGGGAAGGTGTCTACCAGTGTCATGAACACCCTAGGACTGTCATCTCTGGAATTCTTCGAAGTAAAATTAGAAAACAATTTGTGGGAGGTATTCCTTTAGAATACTATTGCTGAAATGACCGAGAGAACACTCGACACCCTTATCAAAGCAGAAGAAGAACCTAGAAAGGACAAGTAATTGGGTCAATGTCACCCCTGACCTTGTAAAAGTAAATAAGATAATGTATGTAAAGAACTTACCAGAACGCTCATTATATTAAATACTGAATACAGTGGCTGAGGAAGGTAGAAAAAAATTAGTGAGTACAGAATCAGGACTAAAACCCATAATGCAAGACTCAGTCCAGTACTCTTTCCACTAGAGATTCAGCATCAGTTTTTAAAAATTGTATAAATGCAATTATAATAAGGGTAGAATAACTCTTCCTTTACAGCACATGAATTTACTTCATTTTAGCTAAAAATAAGAACTAATATAACAATAAATTTTATATTATAATAAATCATTTATTATTTTTAGCTAAAATGTAAATATATAATAAATTATATATTATATAACATATATAAATAATAGATTAATATTATAATAAATAACAGTATTTATTCTTAGCTAAAATGAAACTTTAAACTCTTTAAACTCTAGCTAAATGCCAGATAGATATAACATTTAAATTCTTTCAAAAGGTTACATTATGTAACGCTTACAACAACAGTATGCAGTGACAATGTGGATTCAGAGAAGTTCTCTAAGTTGCCTGAGGTCACACAGCCTGGAAGCAGGAGATCTGTGACTGGAACCAGCTCTCTCACTCCAAAACCTGTGCTCATGGCATTCAAAGCAGCTTATTCTTAAAGGCATGTTCTACCTCCAAGCAACATGATAGAGGTCTATTCAGGGAGGATCTGGATGTGGTTTCTTACATAGAACCACAGTATAATATGGCAGCACGATCAATACCTGGACTGCAAAATGGGTTTTGCAATTCCATTGCAAAAAAAAAGCTAAAGAAGCCATGTTTAGTTTGAGAGTGGTACTTAAGTCAGATTCCAAGAGCTTCCAGCACCAAAGCCCTGTGCCTGCTGCAGTGTGAGGAGGTACCTGGCACGTCAGTGTGCAATATTATTTCCTAGTAATGTCTAATTCAAGATTGCATATTTATATCATCTTAACACTGTGATGTATTAGAGAACAAATGAAACTCAGGGTTATATTTTGCTATTACCTCTTCTCATTTAAAAATAATTTAAAACACAAATTTGAAAAGTTGTCCTTGCTGGGAGCTTACTTCTGAATAACTACCCGGCTTGCTGTAACTTTTAATGACACACATCCTACTGTAATTCACGTTCCCTACTTTTCTTTCCTAGGTTTTATTGCTCTTGGCTATTTGCATAAAAATGGAAGCTTTGATCTTTAAGGGTTCATCAGCTCAAACAGCTCATTCCCTATCCTAAGATGCAAGTAATGATGGGTGAAAGAGGTTTCGTGGTTCAGCTCAACCAGGCATGCACAAGCAGTTACTAAAACCCATCAGTCCCTCCTCCTCATCACCGGGATTGCTTTTACTATAATTCTCCACTCATGCCCATCTCAATATCTTTCTCGGCCCACACATTAATCAAGGTGGCCACTCCCTGTAGGTACAATTCTTAATACAGTCAGCAGCCTCATTTTACTACAGAAGCAGAAAACACATAGATGAAGGTCCAATCTTGTTTTCTTCATGTACCTAAGAATTTGGGAGCATTTCCCATTCTCTCAGTGCTACCACCTCACATGGTCCTGGTGAGGAATAAAAGAGGTGTTATCCATAAGGGTCTACACATGAACCCACAAATATTTTGTTTTCCATTTCTTTCCAAGAACCGTAGATCATTTCTATGGATTCTTTAGGTCCTAATAGAAAAGTCAAGAGTTAAGCCTGTCAGCTTGGTAATGTTCATTAGTTGTCTACTAAGGAGTAAACTAAACCTCATTTGTTCTTGGTCTAATGACAACTTTCATAGTGTTATTGAACACTCAAGAAAGGTTCACTGAAGAAAATACTAAGTGGCCCAAACGGTGGGGAATAGAACATAAGGAATGATAGAATCTTCCAAGCCGAGTGCTTGTGGCTTCGTTTAATTCACTAGTGGTGTAGTAAAGTGAAACATTGGTTCGTGTCCTTTTTCATTCTGAGAAGTGGCTGTTGACATCCTCAGCTGGCTGGATAACTGTTCTTATATTAGTGTGAGAGCAAGCATGGGCCCCAGGAGCAGCCCACGAGCTCTGCAGCCTAATGTGCGTTCATCTGCCCATCCAACTAACATTTGTAATTCACTATGCCTGGTGCTGGGGATGCAGCAACAGGACAGACAAGTTTCCTGTTCACAGGGAGCTCTGCTGGTAACCAGCAAGGTGCAATGAAGAGGGAGAGGTGACATGAGAGATGTGGTTGTAGGGACAGCAAGCACCTAGAAGGAGTGTGCCGTTCCACCTCGGAGGGTGGGTCCTGGGAGGCTTTGCAGAGGTGGTGACTTGGGAATGATCACGAGAGCTGAGGGAAGGTAAGGCCACTCAAGGTCAAAGAGCAGAACTAGTAGACACAGAGGCAGTCACACTGCTACGGAGCAAATGCCAGTGGTTTCTTGAATGTAGGCACTACTGGACGCGGGACGGAGGATGGAGACCATTATGCCCAAATAGGAAGTTTGGACTTTACTCCACAGGTAGTAGTTAGTAATTGTCAGTAGGAGAAGAGATGTGTTTTAGGAAGACCACTCCACTGTGTGGTAGGCAGAATATTCTGCCCACCACCGCCAAGATGAACGTAACCTAATTCCTGGAACCCGTGACTATGTGACTATGTTGCATTACATGACAAAAGGTACTTTGCACACATGCTCACATTAAAGACCTCGAGATAGGGAGATCCTTTTGGATAATCTGGGTGGATCAAGTATAATCACGATGGTCCTTAAACTGGCAGAGTGAGGCACAAGATGACAGCTAGAGATGACACGAAAAACGGTCAGGGAGATGCAACGTTGCTGGCTTTGAAGAAGTTGTCTTTGAAGAGGCCCACGAGCCAAGGAGTGAAAGCTGGAAAAGGCCAGGAAACAGGCTTTCCAGCAGAGCCCCAGGAGGGGACACGGTTCTGTAGATACCTCGATTTTAGTCCTGTATGACCTATGTGGACTTCTGCACTATTGAGCTGCAAGATAATAAATTTCTGCTGTTTTAGGCCCCCAACTCTGTAAATTTGTTTTGGCAGCAATAGAAAATAAATACAAATGTCTTGGGGAGGACTGAAGTGGGAGGGGCACGGCTCCCAAGGAGAGAGCTCCTCAGTGGGAACCCAGGCAGCAGCAGTGGAAGAGGAGGGAGTCATGGGGCGTGGCGGTCGTAGGGAGACCGCTCAGATATGACCTGTGGCGCACTGGGCTGGGGTGCTGGTTCAGGAGAAGGGCGAAGAAGAGTCTAAAACGGCCCCCAGGCTCCTCTGGTGCTCAGGGATGGAGAAGCGATGTAGGACAAGCAGCAGGCTTGGGGAAGATGAGAGTTTAGCTTTAAACATGTTGAGTTGGGAGTGATCTTGAGGCTTTTAGGAACAGATAATTCAATATATACGTCTGTGGCTCAGGCAAACTGAAATTTCGGAGTCATGAGCTTAAAGGCGGTGGCTGAAGCCCAGAGACTGGCTGACAGCCCTGATGGAGAAGAGGCTGCAGGAGCCAAGAGCCAGAGGAGACTGCGGCAGCTCAGGGCCAGATGGGAGAAACTTTCCCAAGGCAGCTTTCCGCACACGGCGGCGAGGGCTTCCTCAGGAGAGCGCTGCGAAGGGCCCCTCGGCCTGTCTCGGGGCTCAGGGAAGAGTTCTTGAAGGAGACAATTCTTAGCTTGAATCCTGAAGGATGAATTTGGAGAAAAGAGGGGAAAGGACATTCCAGACGGAGGGAACAGCACATAAAAAGGCCCCTGAACAGCGCGGTGTGTGCAGAGATCTAGAGGCGGCTGAGAAGGCTAGCAAGTAAAGCAAGAGGATGTGCGTGGGCACAAAGGTAGATCAGCCATTAGAATCTTACCTGCAGTCGGAGTGGGGTTGGGACAGGATAGAGACTCAGCTAGGGCTTCTGAAATGGGCATGAGACTTAGAGTCAGTTGAGTGGATTATAGTGATACTGAAAATGAATTTTTAAAGGTACAGATCAGAAATATTTTAAATGAACTTCTTAGTTTCTGATGCTTAAAATCGTTGCAGATAACTTTCCCTGTTGCATGGCCTTAATTATGACATGGCACTCCAAAAAGTTTCTAGAGATTACAAAAAGGTCAGTAGTTTGTTGAATCTGGGCATCCTCTAACCATTAGCCAATAGGGCCTCTCGCTCTCAGAACACACAAGACCTTCCTAATCCAGGGCCTTTGCCCAAGACCAGCCAGGCTTTTCTCTCCCCAGCGTCCCATACCTAAATTTCACTCATTCTTCAAAGCGAAGCTCAAATGCTATCTCCCTCTGGAAGTGTTCCCTGATCCCTTGAGTTGGAATGACCCTCCCAGCTTCATGGAGGGACGAGCCTCCTCTTCACTGGCCTCATCTGTAACTTCCTAGCCCGGGGTACCATTCAAGGGCAGAGGAAGCATACGTATCTTTGGAAAGCGGGCTCGGGAAGGGTCTTTCATGCCTGTTTGGGCATTCACTGGATGCCCAAAGGGGACCCAGTCACGTTAGGAAAGCAGCCTTCGCAGCAGTTGATTTGAGAGTTTTGTATAGAAGAGAGGTATGGGGAGAAAGTGGAAAGTAGGAAGAACTAGTGAAAAATTAATTCAATAATCTAGGTGTGAGGGCTTTGGAGGCCAAGGATAAGTCATGTTGCATTGTGAGTGTTCCACGTTTTTTTTTTTCCACATTTAATTTTTAAAAAGTGCTCATCTCCTCTAAGGTAGTAACTTAACTCCCAGTGCTTCAGAGATAAGAGCTTTGGGCTTGTTTTGTTGATGTGATAGTTTCAGCATGTCACATGCAGGTGGCCAGAGGACATAGACCATGTATGTGTGAGGCATGTGGTTCTTCCTGTAGTTGCCTGATCAAACACAGATGCTCAGTTAACTTTACATTTCACATAAATAACAAAAAGATTTTTAGTATAAGCATGTCTTAAATATTTCATGACACATACTTATATTTAAAAAAATTATTTCTTGTTCATCTGAAATTCAAATTAACTGGGTATCCTGTATTTTTCTTTGTGAATCTGGCAGTCCTACATAGCACATGAGCAAGAGCAACATCTAGGCACAGAATGGAGGGATTTCTGGCAAATCAGTGTGGCTTATTTAATTCCTTTTCTCCCCCGTAGCTTTCCAGTCCTTTTGTCTGTCTTAATACTGGGGACGCCAGCATTCCTCTGGAAAGCTGCCTCACATAGGATTCTATGCCGCAAGGAGGAAGGGTCTGTAATCTTTAAGATGAACTATCAGCCCATCTCCTGGAGCTGCCAAGACAGCCCCTTAGCTAATGTCCAGCCTAAATATCTCAACTGCTGGCCATTTTCCTCATCATTCCTGCAGTGGCACTGGCCAATGAAGGATCACACAGTGCCCACAAGAACCTTTTATAGCCACATCCTAGGCACCTATCATGTTGCCTCTCGATCCTTCTGTTTGGCTGAGCAACCCTGGGGGCACGTCCAGCTCCGCAGAGGAGGCTGCACCAGGGCTGGCCGTTAAGGGCACCCCAATTCTGGTCATCCTGATGCCAGAAGGATCCCAGTTCTGAGACTGGGACATCCCTCCTGGGGAAAGGAGATGTTAAAACCCTCTTTCCACAGACTCTTAAATGCTGCCCTTCCCGCAGAGACATATGATCGCTGGTGCAAAATCACCGCTGTTCTTCCTCTTAGGGCCTCTCAGCTTTTGGATTCTGACCATTGCTGGGAATCACTGCTTTCTTCTTTCCAGACTGTTCACCCCACAGAGCCTTACATTGCAGCAGGAGCTGGTGGTTTTGAGGGAGACGGACTCATGCATTTTACACTCAATAGCGATAGTATTGACATGTCACAAAATAGTTGGCTGTTCTTTGAGTTGTACTGTTCTCACTTATCAAAACCTCTTCATCTTTTTCCCACACTAAATTTAATTGGTTTCTTTCTTAGTTTGTATTTATGGGATTATTGCTGTTCAAGACACTACTTTGCATTGATCTTTATTGACTTCCATTGTATTTAATTGAGTCATCCATCCAATTCGCTTGTATCATTTTGGATGCTTCAAATTGTCACGTGAAATGGGATGTAAACCAATGTAAAAAAAATCCCCTTTTAGAAACTCCAAGAATTCACGTGACTACACAGGAATCAATGACAAAATTCACCATTTTTTGTATTTTCAAATATATTACCTAATATTGCCTGTTGAATAAATTGGAAAACAATTTTGAAAGGAGCATTTTAATAAAAACATATCTAAAATATAAATCTCCCCAGTTGAATTTCCAGAATAAGGTGGATGAATGAAACAGAAGCACTGAAAATGCTCAGGGGGATCCAGGAGTGCCCACCCCTTCCCTCACAGGGCACCACTCCATTGTAAGAGTAGAGTTTATTGATCAGATCGGAGATACCAAACTATCGGTATCATCTGTGTTAGTCATAAAGACTAAAAATTCCTGACTATACTTTTATGCTTAAAGGATAAGTTTCAATCTGAAGATTTTCTTTTTTTAAAACCAACCATTACTCAGGATAGAAAAGTTTCTACCCAACATTTAAATACAAACAAAAATTATTCGATATAGAAATTTGTCTATACATATTGTGAATTGTTTCCATTTTCCTTTATTGTCCTTTAATGATCTCATCAAGAGTGCATAATTAGTTCACTAGACTGCAAAACACTGGCTCTCCCCTGAAGCAGCCAAGCAGAATTGTTGACTAACCCTTTTACCCTCCGGAGCTCACTACCGTTAATAGGCCGTGTTCAGGAGGGAGAATGCTGGGAGACCCACAGTTAGAGAAAAAGTTTGTGATCTCTGCCTTGAAGCAACAGTTTAGGGACCATCATAGCCTGCATTGACATATAAAACGAAGATTTTTCAAAATCACTTTGCCAATGTCAGTTAATAATGGCTTTCAACGCCTTCCAATATTGCTGTAAGCTGCTAGGCAGGCAGATTTTGGTGCCAATTTTCCTTCATCTGTACATATTTCTTGAAGTGCTCTTGTAAGAAATAGAATGTAGATGCAATGATAAGTTAGGAATGGAAATCTCAGAACTGAACTAAGGATGACAGTCATATCAATAGTTATACATTGAGGTCCTTCCTATGTTCTAGGCTTTGTTCCATGAAGGCAAAATAGAAACAGGTGGTTTTAAAATGTTGCTGAGGGATCTAGATGTGTTAAATTAGTCAAGGGAGATACCAAGCTTAATCTCTTGGGCATTTTGGCTCTAATTAATATACAAATTTATGTTACATTAGAACAAATGATCAGTTCAAGGTGTACTTCAAAGACCCCAGATGTAACAGGATTTCGAGAGAAGTTTGTGCATTTTCTGTTAATTTAAGGCATTGAAACCATAGAAGCATTTTATTCTAAAAATAGCCATTTAATGTCCCAAAATATAATTTCCTTTTTCTCACTAATTAGTTAAAGATGAAATAATGCTTGAACACTTCATAATCTTAAATTCACAATATTTTACTTAATTAAAATAGGTAATTTAGAAAAATAATTGGCAATTGCTAAAACCTCTAATGCTGATGAGAATTGAGCTGGAAGCATTCTTTTATCACAAATTGGTACTTAAAATATAAAGTTCTGCACACAGCTGGGAAGTGCCATTGTAATTTGGCATTTATGTTCAGTAGCTATCATTAAACCAAACAAACTGAAATTAAAGAGAAAAGAAAAACAGTGGATTTAAGAAGACATATTTGGGGTAGAATCTAAGGGCTCAAAAGTATAAATAGGATCTTCTAAGCATTCGTTAGGAAGTGATTGTTATGTAACACATCTGCAAATTTCTAATACATTGATTCATTTCATTCTTCATTCTAGACATACAGCTTTGATAATATTTAAGTTCCGTTAAAAAATTAAGGCTATATAATTGATATTCTTTGGATCAAAGGATACTTTTTAGCGGGTAAACTCAACTTTTATTCATGATTTTAAAAGTAAAGTTATTTATGTGGCTGAATTCATGCTTACTGATGCTGATTTAAAGAAAAGTGAGATAATTCTATCTGGAATAAGCAAACCATGGATTTTGCACATTTTCCTATCGAGGACAAATAATAAAATGTCTCTCTGAAATTCCATACAACATAGCACAGATTCGTGCTAATTTGCAGGAACACCAAAGAAAAACACATGCTTTGGAGGCCTTATTTGTTTAGTGGGAGGCTGTCTTTCTCAGGACTGGAACAAAAGCCTGCCGATGAGGACGGGAACATATGCAGACATCGTGAAGTGTGTGTTGCTGGGGAGGGCAGGGGGAGGCATTCCAGTCTACACTGTGGAATTTGCTCTCACATTTTCTCCTTGGTAACACATTAAAAAACATAAGATTTTAAACAACAGTCTAAAGAGCAAGGAATTAAAAACAACAACAACAACAAAAACCAAGATCCGGGCCAACAAAGGTTTCATTCTAGTGGAGTACAATGGTGAGATTTCAGCTCCACTAAATAAGTCTTTAAAATAAAGATTCTGTATATTCTTTTGCAAATAAAAGTTTATCAAATTGCAGTCATGTTAAAGCAAAGTGGGTATTTTTCAATTTTCATGTCTTCTTTGAGATGTAAAAGTTTTAAAAATCCATCCATTGTTTACTTATGGTTCCTCATCAAAAATAAAGGAATTTAATATATTTCAATCTTAAGTAAGAGATTTACTTTTAAAAGAAGGTCAGAAACTGGTTTTTGAAGTTCCCGGGCAGAGCAAACACCCCAAACCAATAATAATGTAGATAAAACCCAGCACAGAAAACATTACCCTAGGTCATGATTTCCAAAATTTATAATTTCAAAAATTTAAATTTAGCCAGTATTTCTTTGCCACCTACTGCTCGCCTTTCAGTGGTCTAGTGACCCTCAAGACTGTTGGATCCAGATTTCACTGGTCAAAGCAGTCACTACCAAGCGGGGTAACCGCCAATGGATCGTTACAATTGCTGGGCTGAAATCATGACCCGGGTACGGGTAGGAGCACAGAGGGAGCAAATAATTCCACGGGTTTTCCTGTTCTTAGAGGGTAAGAGGCGGGGGAACTTGAGCCTGGAAGGATTTCTGAAGAAGGTGGTATTGAATTGACTTTAAACTCCCATGGCTGGGGGACAGGAGGGAGATGTTCCTGACAGAGAAGAGAACATCTTCCTTGGGGCATGGAGACGGCCCCATGGTCAAGGGACAAGGAGTGGTCCAGTGTGAGCACAGGCGAGGGAGCAGGAAGGTAAGGTCCCAGAGGGACAGAAGCCTGTAGAGGAGGATTAGAGCCAGCCAGTGGGCGGCCTGGTGTGTCCTGCTGGGATCTGACAAGTGGGACAGCACTAACTCCTACCTAGCCTTGTTTAGCTCCGGGATGCCCTTGGGGCATGATTTATGATAACGTACTGAATCCTCACAACACTCGTATTAGCTAGATGTGATCACTCCCCCTTTGCATAGATGATCAAACTGAGGCGCAGGTTAAGAAACACGTGGTGTTACTTGGCAGGTGGCAGACCTCCACAGCCTGCGAGGTAGAGGCCACTCCGGCGTCAGGAAGAACATCGCCGGTTTGCGGGTTGAGGGCCAGGGAGAGGACTAGCAACAGGAATCCCAGTGAGAAAACCATCGAAAGAAGGATTGAACTAACGCACAGCTAGACAGTCCCGCAGGGAAAATTAAAAATGGGGAACTTTAAATTGTGTGAACTACGGAGAGTGGGGAGTCCCAGGGCGGGAGGAGTCCCAGGCATCTCTGAGTTTCCTACAGAAATGGAAATGAGACCGAGTTTCCTTTCCGTAAGCCAACGGGAGCAACAGGACCCAGGTAGGAAACGCAGGGTGGGAAGGAGGATCTGCGCTGCTGGCAGGGAGGCCTGCACCGGGGATCCGATCCGCAGCAGGGACTCCAGGCTGGCCCGGGGTCGGGGGAGACAGCTTCTGGAGCTCACAGGTGTTGGGTTGGGGCTGCGGGTCTGGAGTGCGAAGGATAGGAGCGCCCAGAGGGCGGAGGCTGTGCGGGCAGCACCCGCAGCCCGGGGGAGGGAGGAGAAGGGGCCTGCAGGGAGGCTCGCGGGGTCGGGGAGTCGGAAGGGAAAGCGCCCAGGAGTCTGGAGACGCGGTTGCTTTAGGGAGAAGTTTCAGCTCGCGGTGGATAGAAAAGCCCATGCAAAGCGAGGAGACTGGGGTTTGCTTCATCACAAGGCCGTGTTCTCCAGGGTTCGCAGGGAAGGAGGGCGAGGCCGCACATAGACGTGGCCTTGGCTTTTCACTTTTTAAATCTACCGGGTGGAGACTTGAGCGAGGAGGGCAGACGGGCCAGTGCGCTGGGGAGGATGGAAGGGGGAGCCGGCTGGAGCCTCGGGGAGAGAGGCCTGGGGAGGGCCGGGGCCTGGGAAGCGGCCAGCGCCCGCGGGAGGCGTCCCCTCCGGAAGCTCTGCAGGAGAAGGAGGGAGTGAGGACACCCGACCGGCCTGGACTGTGCAGAAGGGGAGGTGACAGCGAGGGTTCGGTCTGCGGGAGGTGGCAGGGCCGGGGCAGGAGCTTCAAGGAAGGGGAAGGAAGCCAGCCACGGCCCTGCAGGGCCTGGAAACTGTTTCCTCCTAACAGAGCCAGTCGACAGTGACACAATTCCCTCCAGCAGGGCCTGACTGTTTTCAACAGACGTCAGGGACATTTTTCCACCCCCCCCCCCCCCCCCCCCGCCATAGATTTTTCACAAAACCCTCATTCACTTCCACGAGAATACTGTGCATGGATCACCGGTCAGTTGTGCAGCAGCCAGTTATGGGTTGGTACCAAGTGTAAGTTACCAGTGGCGCTGGAATCTCTCATTGCAATTGCACAGAGCACGTTCAGGAGAGAGGAAGGTATTTCCAGTGTTGGGAGCTGCTTAGGGTCTGTGTGCTGTATGTTCTCGCATGCTCCATCTCATGCAGAAATGGACACGCAAAGTTGGAGGCAGATGGGAAAGAGCTGGAGAGGAGCTAGCTACTGTGCAGAGAAAAGCTGTGTCACTGGGACCGATTTTCCATATTCTGAGTGTTATCCTGCAGTGGAATACTGGGTATGCCACTACTTGAGTCTGAAGAGGAATGTATGGATGTTGAGATGCCATTGTCCTGTTCTTTCATAAAGCAGTGTGTTCTCAAGGGAAGGGTGGTGGGCTTCCATGCAGCTCTCTGGCTAGAAATGTTTTCTGTGTGAGATGCGAACCTGCCCGTGATGGCCAGATGTGGCCTGCACACATTATAACAGGCTCCAGGATCACGCCTTTCAATGAAAGTTTGCATTGGATCCCTTTGTATATCAAATTTAAATGAATTATTCAATGAAAAAAATGTAAAAATATTCTTACAGTGCATAATACATACCAGACACTGTTTTCAGTACAGTGGGAGGGCACAGAGATGACTGACGTGAAAACTCCCCTTGAAAGACTGCCTCTAATGGCCATGGATGCTCAAAACACTCAGGCTGCCAATTTGCAGCATTAAAGAAAAATCTGGTAAGAATACCCGCCCTCAACACACACACTATAAGCATCTGTGACTTAGTGCAAATTTCTAACACGTCTGCAGGTGGATTACAGTAGACATCGTCTTGTCCTCAGAGTGAGTTTCCTGCCTAATTTCATATTTTCAGTGGTATCAACCAGATAATGAGTATTAACCAAATGTCTACTGTGTAGAAGAAATGTATGAGGCAGCACGGAGGATTGAAAGGGGCATAAAATGCTGAAGAAACAGGCAGTGAATGAGTCTCTGTGAGTCCATTTCTATTCTGGTTGGTAAAGAAAGGTGCTAGAGGGGCATTGCTAAGGGGGTAGCATCTTCCCCGGGGCTGGGAGATGTGAAGCGTGGCTGGGATAGTGAACAGCCCAGTGTGCCCAAAAAGAAAGGCTGTGCAAGAGGAAGGTCTAGGCGAACAAAACTCCCATATTATGGAAGGCTGTAACTCACATGCTCAATACTTTTTATTTCCCTCTGAGGAACATTTGCTAACTATTGGTGATTTGGGGGAAGACATGTGATAAAAGGTGGGTTTTAGGAAAGTGAGATATGAGGGAGGTGAACATGAAGGCAAGATTGGTGAATAGAGCTTCAGAGAAAATATTATAGTCAGAATAGAAAGAACTGCCATGTGATCACTGGAATTTGTTAGGAGATACTGTATTTCCTGCAAGATTGGAGACACTGGGATGGCAACCCAGCCTCTGAGTCTCAGTTCATTCATCTTTAAGTTGGGCATGGCAACCCTGCTTATATAGTCAGATTTCATGAGGATTAAATAAATAAGAAAAGCACATTGAAAACAAATATATTACTATCATCCTATAAGAATGCTACATTTTCATTTTTCTATATTTGAGAAATAAATATATGTGTGTTCAATGATGCATCCATTTGTAATGCTCATATTGCTTCCTTTAATTTGGGTCTTAGACATTTTTGTAATTATATACATTGAACTGTGTGGATCATATGTGCAGAGTTCAGCACATGGTCCTAAACCAATCAGAGAAGGAGACTGACCCTGTAAGCTAATGAAGGAGGATAAGATGTCCTCAAGGAACTATCACAGGAGTTGAGGCTGATAAACTTCATAAGGGGTATTCAGCTAACTGCAAAGGATGATTAGAAGAGAATTGATAGCATCCACGTGCTAACAGAATGGAAAAGGGATGAGCAATGTAGAAGCATGGCAAAAAGAGAGTTAATCAACTCCCACATGCTGTGGTCTGACCATGCGCAAGGTGGCATAATATTGCCTACATTTTCAGAGGAATATTGTGAAAATGAATAGGATATTATCTCCAAAACAATTAGAGATGTTTGGACAAAAGCCACCATGAGAAAAATTCAAGTTTATCATTTCTGAAAAGACATTTAAAAACATGTTAGTTTGTAAGGCAAAATACAAGAACAGATTGAACTTAAAAGATGTTATTAGATCCTTTGAGGAGTGAGGTTGAACACCCCATGTAAACAGAAACCATTCATATTACTATTATGGAAAGCTAACAGAGAAAGATGAACAGGATGAAGCCATTTTATTTACTTGTGACAAGAAGAGAAGGCCATTTAATAAGGTGGAACAAAAACACAACATACAATGTCAGGATTTTCTAGAAAAAAGTAGAGAGTTTCTTTTCCTTCAGACAATATGTTACACATATGGCAAGTTTCTTAGCTTGATAAACATCCACAAGTAGATAGCTTGGAGACAGATGGGAGTTTCACGACTTTGTCTTATTAATTTCCTTGCCATTAGACTGAATAACTCATAATTCAGATGATCAACTTGACTTCTGATTCTGAAAATCAACAGAAGGCACCAGGGTAAGTGGCCAAGGCTAGGAATGAAAGTATCTCCATTGCCCTTGGTAACTGCTTGCTGTGGTCAGGAAGTGGTGGTGAAAGCCAAGTCTTGGGATTCCAGAAATGGACACAAGGCTACCGACGGCATCTCCTGGTCATTAAATGTGTGTCATGCACAAAGATTTATAAAAGAAAGAAGAAGAGGGAGAACGGAAGAGTGATGATCTGGTACATAAGGCTTTTTGAACTTCAAAAGAGTCAGAAGAACTAAACAGAAGGGAGAAGAGAACAGTAGAAGAAGGGAAAGCAGTAAAATGTGACTGCTACTTATACAAAACTGAAATTCAATAATTTTGAGGTTTTCACCACCAGAGACTTAATACATGTTAGAAAGGTTACATTCGTAAGTGAAGGCAGAGCCAGCAGCTCTCTCTCCTCACCGCCTCTCATCTCACCCTGCAGGTCTCCTTCTCCTCTCCCATCTCCGGTAGGCGTCAGTGCCCCCTAGACACACCCAAAGCCAGGCCAGGGCCTTCTGCTAATGTAGGTAAGTAACCTCTAACAGAAAATGGGATTCAACTGAGGAGTAAAGATCAACAACCAAAACTTCCATGCCCGTCATCCCAGTCGGTTCAGAGGATGGATTAACCGCTCCAGGTACTGACGCTTTCTGTCCTTTGTGGTGGCGCTGTCCTGTGTAGTGTGGGATGTTCAGCAGCATGGCCAGCCTTTATCCGCTGAAGCCAGTACTGTATCCCCACCCTCACTGGGAGCAACCAAACATCCCCTGGGAGGGAAAATCATCCCAGCTTGAAAACCAGTGTTTTGCATAGGACAGGAAAACAAGTGCTGTGGATAGGAAAAGGTAACCTAATGATTGCAGAATTATTGCCACCTCTGGACCTAGGCAGAATATGACCCATTGTATTTACAGTTGATGGAAGATGTAGACAGGAAAATGTACACTGCATGACTAGGTTTGATTATACAAAAAGTAACAACAAATGCTGGTGTAGTTCCTGGCATTCTAGCTCACAAATCACTTTGATTTGCATTGTCTCATTTAATCCTCATTACACTGTGAAAAGAAATATACAACCTCCAGTTTATGAATGAGAAAACCAAGGCTTGGAGTGATCAAATGATTTGTCTAAGATGTAAGATTTAGCTGGAAAGGGATAGAGACCAGAATCAAACCAAGGCATTCAGACTCCAGACTCTGGGCTGTTTTCACAAATCGTCTCTCATGGTGGGTTGGGTGGGACCAGTGGTCTCCAAGCCAGAACTCACTGAGATGTAGCATCAATAGCAGTAAAGCTCAGAGCTGAAGCATGAGGCATCAGCTACCTTTCAACATCAGCAGGGCTCAGAGGGGATGGGGAAAAGAGGGTGGGAGGGGTCCCCAATCTCTCTACCTGCTCTAGTCTTTCATTGTGAAAGTGATCCTTTGCAGACACAACTCCTCTGTTTTTTTCAGACTTTACATCTGTACCTGATGTTACTGCCTGGAGCTCACCAAATCAAAGGGATGCAGAGAGAAAAATGCTTATATCTGTGCTTACTTTTTTTTTCTTTTGAGAGAGAGTCTCGCTCTGTCGCCCAGGCTGGAGTGCAGTGGCGTGATCTTGGCTCACTGCAACCTCCATCTCCCAGGATCAAGTGATTCTCATGCCTCAGCCTCCTGAGTAGCTGGGATTACAGGCATGCGCCACCATGCCCAACTAATTTTTGTATTTTTAGTAGAGATGGGGTTTCACCATGTTGGCTAGGCTGGTCTCGAACTCCTGACCTCAGGTGATCCACTCACCTCAGCCTCCCAAAGTGCTGGGATTACAGGTATGAGCCACTGAACCCGGCCTGTATTACCTTTAACATCATCCTTTACAATTTTTATTCGTGTGTTTTCATTATGCAAACGTTAGTACTGTAATATACATTACATATTACTAACCCACGTTGTTGCAGTAATATAACTGTGTGTGTGTGTGTGTGTGTGTATGTATGTGTGTGTATGTGTGTTGCTTTTCATGCATAATTTTTTAAACTGATGGAGTGAGTGCATGGTCAGTCAAAAGATTTAAAAACTACTTTTCCCTTTTTTTTTTTTTTTTGTTTTGAGACGGAGTCTCACTCTGTCTCCCAGGTTGAAGTGCAGTGGTGCGATCTCGGTTCACTGCAATCTCTGCCTCCCAGGTTTAAGCTATTCTCCTGCCCCAGACTCCCATGTAGCTGGGATTATAGGCATGCACCACCACACCTGGCTAATTTTTGTATTTTTAGTAGATATGGGGTTTCACCGTGTTGGCCAGGCTGGTCTCAAACTCCTGACCTCAGGACCCACCTCGGCCTCCCAAAGTGCTAGGATTAGAGATGTGAGCCACCGCACCTGGCCTGAAAACTACTTTTCAGAAAAGATTACGCAATTATGAAAAATATCCAGTTGGAAACATCATTCAACTCAAACTCAACAAGTTCCCACACCGACCTCTTGGTCTTTCCTCCCCGTCCCCTCTCAGGATCTCTTTGCCCTGAGTTTCCCACCCACCCATGAGACCCAGCCCTGGCATTGGACGTGGATTCTTCTCTCTGCCTCACCTCCTTGCTGACGTCGCCCAGGCCTGTTGATTTCTCAGCCACACATGGTGACCAAATAGGGCTATCCTTAGAATGGAAGTTTAGTTCAATATCAAAAAAAGTATTATTGTGATTTAACAACTGTATATGTACACACAGAGTAACTACATGAATTGTGTGTTATGCATTGGCAGACATTCTGAGAAGTGGTCTGAAGGCCTTCCTGGGCTGTCCAAGTGCTGCATGGCATAAAGAAGGCCAAGAACTCTGCGCTAAAGCAACAAGCCGACTTCTGATGTTGTTGCTCTGGGATCACAGGAATAATAATATTAATTCATAAGACATCGCATACATATTGTTTCATTTAATCCTCACTACAACGTGTGAAATAAAACCTCTACTTATGCGTTGGAAACCACGAAGCCATGGTGGACACCATCATCAAGCTGAGACACCTTTCCCTTTGTGGTTTGCTAAGAGTTTCCATCATGAGTAGCTGTTGAGGTGTTTTATTTTTATTTTTTTATGAACTTTTTATTTTTTTATAAACTTTTTATTATGGAATAGTATTAGATTTACTAACACTAAGAGTTGCAAAGATAGTACAGAGAGCTCTCTGCATCCCTCACCCAGTTTCTCCAATGTTAATATCTTGTATTAAATCTTGTATTTGTCAAAGCTAAGAAATCAACGTTAACATATTCCTTTTAACTAAGCTTCAGATAGCATTTGGATTTCGCCAGCGTTTCCACCGCTGTCTTCTTTCTGTTTCAGGATTCCACCAGGATACAGCCCTGCATTTAGTTCTCAGGTCTCCAGAGTCTCCTCTGTTCTAGGACGGATTCTTGGTCTTTATTTTTCATGATCTTCAGAGTTTTGAGAAATACTGGCCTGGTATTTTGTAGAATTTCTTCAGTTGGGTTTGTCTGATGAGTTTCTCATCATGAAGTTGGGGTTATGTTTTATGGAGAGAATATCACAGGGTGCAGTGCCCTTCTCAAACCACATAGCAAGGCTCTGGGAACACAGTGATCACGTCCATTCCAAGGACAGTCCTACTTCATCCTGATCTATTAGGATTTTTTAAATATGACAACATGTTACTTAGGATTTTTACAACTATGTTCATATATTTTCTGTCTTTTGCTCACATAAGTTATCCTACCTTCTTCTTCGATTCTTCTTTTTCAGTTCTCTGGAATAGTTTGAGAGAAAGAAATGATATTTAAATACTTAGAAAAAATTGATTGTAAAATGAACTGGGTATGTGACTTCTTTTTGGTGGGGAAGCTTTTGATTACTTATTCATTTTTTTAATGTTTATTGGCTTATTTTGGGTTTCTATTTTTTGGTAATTTATATGTTTCTAGTAAATTATTTCTTTCAACTGAATTCCAAATTCATTTGCATTGATTTATGAATGAGTTACTGTTTACTTGTGACTTTTTTCTTGTGCTCATTCTTGGTGAAACGTGTATTTTATTTGCTATTTCAAAGAACCTGGTTTTGTTTTGCAGATCCTCTTTACCATTTCCTTGACATCTATTTCATGAATGTTTGCTCTTTTGTTTATTTCTGGTTTTGTTGCATTTACCTTGTTGCTCACTTTCTAATTCTTAAATTGAATGGTCTACATTTATTTTCATCCAGTGCTTTAGCTTATGAATTATAAATTCATTTCAAACACTATACTTTTAGTTGTACCTTTTTTAGTTGCTAGAGAATATCATTTAAATAATATAAATTATTTAAATTTGTTGAAATTTTAATCTTCTTCATGGTCAATTTTGTAAATGTTCTAGGAGCATACAAAGGACTATCGCTACTGGGTGCAGAATTCTCTATATGTCAAAACTCACCTGTTAATTTTCTTACTAAAAAATCATCCATATCCTCAATAATTTTTTATTTGATCTGTTAGAGTTATGATCCTTTACTTTGTGGATTTGTCCAGTTTTCTTATCACTTTGTTAGCTTTTACTTTACATGTTTCTGCTATATTGTTAGGATAATACAGGATCATGATTTTTACGTCATTTTGGTGGATTTTGCTTCTTCTTATCCTACGATGCCCCTCTTTTCTCCATTAATGCTTTTTTTTAATCTGATCTTACTATTACTCCTTATGTTTCTTTAGCTTAATATGGATTTTTCATTTTTTTTCTTTAAATCTTTTAGCATGGTTTTAGGTATGGAAATTCCATAGTGATTAAATATTTTTAACTTTCTTCCAGATAAAACAAAGCTTTGGCTGACGACTGAAAACTCCTCTGACATCCTGCCATTGTTGTCTGGAGTGTTAGTTTGGCTTTAAAAAAAAAAAAAACACATACATTACAAAAATCCTATAGTTCATAAGTCTTACTGACATTTTATCAATTTTGGGACTTGCCATTATTTCTGGTATCTCAGTCTTAGCTGTGGGTTTGTTCTTCTTACTAATGTACTCACTTCGGCTGTAATTTTACTTAGAGTTAAGTAGAGTTGGCGAACTCTTTTCATCTTTGTATGTCGGAAATTGTCTTTATTTTACCTTCCCTCTTGGGTGATATCTTAACTGTGTGTAAAATTCTAGGTAGTTGCTTTTGTTTTTTCTCAGCACTCGAGATATCAACCCACTGCCTTGTGTCTCGGGCTGCTGATAATTCCACTGACGATCCAGTGGGTCTTTGTGGCGTCTGCCTTTTCTCTTTGGTGGCCTAAATATTTTCTTGTTGTCTTTAATGTTTTTCAGTTTTATCACACTGTGCTTAGGATACAATTTACATATTTAATCTTTCTCAATTGGAAATACACTTCCAATTCGAAGAGCAGCTTTCAGCTCATTCGTCTCTCCCATCATGATGCCGTTAACCTCCATCCTCCCTGGGCAGCTTCTTATTTTATTTAACCCAATTTATCATTTGTTCTTCTTCAGATTCGTCTGCTCTTGTTTCAAGATTTCTATCCTTTTCAAAAAATAATTTATTTTTACTTTTATGAACTTATCCTATTTATTTCTTTGGATATCTAGCATGATTTCGGGACCTCTCATGCTGTTATAGGAATTTATTTTAATAACAGAATGAACATGTGTTCTAAATTTTTATTGTGTGGGCTGCCTTTTTTTAGCATGGAAATTCTTCATGGGTTATGAAATTTTTTATTTGCAGACTTATTTTAGAAGGAAAAGGGTTTTTCCCCATTTCTTTCACTCCTTCTCAATTGTTGCTCTCTCTTTCCCAGCTAGTAGTTTTGTGGCTGTCTGCACTCAACTCCTAGAGCCTCCAGTCCAGCAGCAGATGGCATTGGCAGCAGATTTTTATTTTATTTCTATTTTCATTTTTAGTGAAAGACTCCACTCTGGCCTCTGCCTCTGAGCAGCAGGCCTGGCCTGGTACTCCACCCCACAGGGAGACTCTCATCCTCTCTACCCCATGGAGGCCAGGCTCTCAGCCACCACGGACTGCTTTTCAACTGAGATCTCAGGAGGCCTGAGGCTTCAGGCCCCCTCACTGCCTACTCTGTTTCTGGCCTAGGGATCTAAGATGTTAATTTAGTCTCTGAGCCCAGGTCTGACTTCCTGGGGTTCTCTGTCGCAATGGTTTATCCATCATTGCTGCGTGCTTCGTACATAGCATGTAAATGTCTATATGCAGCTTGGTCTACGTGTATAGAGCCATCATGGTAAGAGCGAGGCAGCATCATGGAGAGCAGCTGATCATCCTCAAGGGGAGAGACCAGCCTGGGCTGGGTTGACTGGGGAAAGCTTCAAGGAGAGGATGAGAATGGGGCTCGTCCTGGCAGAAGGGACAGTACTTGGATAGGCAAAGAGGAAGGAGTCAACTTTCACAGGCAGGAGCAACAAAGAATAAAGACACAAAGGGGAGAAGCAAGAACATTCAGTTGAGGGACTCCTTAGCAAACGCATCTAGTTAGACTAGAAAGTCTACAAAGAAAATAGTAAAAGACAAGGTTGGGAAAATTGTTGGAACTAGATGATGGACATAGGGATTTCTATTAGGTGGGGGCAGAAGTAACTGCAGTTTTTGTAATTACTTTTAACGGCAATTACTTTGGCAATTGCAATTACTTTAGCACCAACCTAATAGACTAAGGGATTAAGACAGAAAGTAATGGAGAGATGCTGAACTTTTGGTATATAGAAACAAAACAAATAGTTATTGATTAAAAGCTTTCTCTTTTTTTTTGCCAAGCATTGCAGTAAGTGCTTTATGTCAACTGTCTCCTCTGAGCCTCAGGCAACCCTGTGAAACAGATACCCATTAGACAGTGAAAACAACTGAAAATAGACAGATTAAATAATTTCCCTGCAATCACACAGGTTGACCCATGGTCAGAAAGATGTCAGGTCCTAACTCCCAGAACCTATAAATGTACCTTATTAGGATAAGGGTCTTTGCAAATGTGATTAAGTTAAGGATCCTAGGAGAGGATCCTGGCTTACCCAGATGGGCCTTACATTCAATCACAGTGTCCTTATGAGAGGGAAGCAGAGGGGGATTTGGACACAGTGCACAGAAGAGCGGGAGGCAATGTGAAGACGAGGCAGGGACTTGCGTGGTGTGGCCACAAGCCAAGCAATGCTGGTAGCAGTGGAAGCTGGGGGAGGCCAGGAATGGATTCTCTCTGCCCGCAGCTTGCCTTCGGCCCAGTGAAGCTGATGTTGAGCTTCTGGCCTTCAGAACTGTGAGAGAACACATTCTGCAAGCCACCAAGTTTGTGGTCATCTGTTACAGCAGCCACAGGAAACTAATATGGGCAGTGTAGGATGGAGTCAGGATATGGCCGGTCTATATGACTCTAAACTCATGTTCTAACACTCATTTTGGATGACTAGTCTAGAAATGATGTATGGAATGGAACAAAAGACAAAGCTAGAGCAGTGAGGTAATATAGGAAACTCTGACAGTTACCCAAGTACAACCAAGTATTTGAATGCATGTGAATTATAATGAACATTTCAGTTAAATTTTTATTCAGTGTTGCAATGAACAGGTAGGGATAAAGGAGAACATCTCCAAGCAGGGTCTCCAACCCCCAGGTCACAGAGTGGTACAGGTCCACGTTCTGTTAGGAACCAGGCTGCATAGCAGGAGGTGAGCAGTGGGCGAGCACACATTACTGCCTGAGCTCCGCCTCCTGTCAGGTCAGCAGCAGCATCAGATCCTCAGAGGAGCATGAACCCTATTGTGAACTGCGCATGTGAGGGATCTTGGTTTCTTGCTCCTTATGAGAATCTAATGCTTAATGATCTGAGGTGGAGCAGTTTCATCCTGAAACCACCTTCTCCCCTGTTCACTGGAAAAATTGTCCTCCATGAAACTGGTCCCTGGTGCCAAAAAGGTTGGGGACTGCCTCTTCTCGAGTTAATTACCATTCTAGAAGATGGGTTATCACACTGACGGATTGTCCATTTGGGGGCAGAGGTGGCAGATACGCCCCCATGGTTGTGAACAGAGCATTCTGAAACATTCTTCAGGAGCCCATTTGTGACCGTTGTTCTGGTTCTTAAGTTAGAAAAACGTCCAGATCCAAGCTGAGGTGTTAAACAAAACAACATTTAAATTGCTTTATAATGCAGGTAAGTATCACAATGTGTAATTATAAAAACATTACTGTCAAATTGATGACAGGTTTGTAACTCGATTTAAGTTTTCCAAATTTGGAACTTGGATCTGCTAATGCCCCAGGCGGCTCCGACAGGCTCCCCCACTCCTTCTTATGTACTGTCGTTCTGGGCACAGAGCCTCTGAGCCAGGCTCTGAGGCTCAGGTAGAGGAGACTCGGAAGGCTGAGCCGTGGCTTCCTCACCTGTAAAACGGTGAGCTCAGTACCATGCCCCTTGCAGGGCGGTGGTGAGAAGGGAGCATGAGAATATTTGCAGGGAGCCCACTCAGGGCCTGCTCCAAGCTGCAGGGCCCAGGCAGTGCGCGGTGGCGCCAGGCCGGGCTGTGGGGCCAGCTCCTGCCATTCCCCGACGGAGTATCCCGGAGCAGTTTCTCCATCTGTCAAACGTGTCTCTCTTAGGGCTGTGAGGATTAAATGAGTCTACACGGATGCAGCCCCTGGTACCAGTAAGCACTTTAGAAACACCAGCTATTATTGCTGTCACTTGGAGTGCGGCCGGGTGGAGACCGAGCTCCGGATTTGGAGCACGGGGTATTAGGGAGTACTGACGGTGTTCTCGAGAGCCAGGGGAGGTTTGGGGGGATGGAGAAAGGATCGGAGAGCTCGCCCTGTTCTTGTCGCTTGGGAAATCCTGGCGCTCCTCTTTGAATGGATGGAGTTCTGAGGATTTTGGTGGGTTTGTTCAGCACTGCCTCAGCATAAGCCTGGATCTTTATTTTGTTTAAAATGCCGGAGGAATAAAACGATGCCGAGGACTGGCAAGCGAACAATAAAGCAGGGCAGGGAGTTGCAGTGTTGGGAATATATTCAAAAAGGGAAAATCTAGTATGGTCAATGCACACATTGTAGGTCATGGATAATGATGAAATTTAAATTCATCTCCAAAGTCTGTGTGACATTGGAAAGAATGGGGAGACTTACGAATGAGGCATCGGCAGCTTCCATAAAACAGAGTTCATTAAACAACTGTGATTTCAGACATGGACTGTGATAGATAAGGCTTCTCCAGACAAAACGCCTATTTCATGTTTCAAAAATACTGCTAGTTGCAAAGCTATCACAAAATCTCTGTGCTTATTTTTATATCTCAGAATAGTTAAAGTAAAAAATGCATTTGCAAACATGGCTGTAAATAGGAGTTCCGTTTAAACTATTCATCTTTTGAAACAGTGGTGCATCCAAAGTGTTTATATTTGAGGAATCTACTAGAACCCAGAATCTTTCTATGTTGTTAACGCATTTAGTATGCATTTACAATGAAAACAAAACAGGAACATTTCCAATCTATTCAAGATATTTTTATTCATCGCATATGATTCTCTTTAGAAAGTATTTAGTTGAATAAATTATTCAAAACCAAGTGTATAGATTGGCATAAAATGGATTTTGCATTAGTTCATTCAGTAATCCCTAAATTGGCAAAAAATCAAGGTGTAGTACAACAGTTTCCGTTATAACTATGAATAAATTTAAGAGATTATGTTACAGAGGAAATCTAAGGACTGTAGTAAACAGCAAAGTGTTTTCAAAAAATGAACCCTGAAACTAACGAAAGCTGTGCAAATCTTTATGGAAAAAATTTAAAAACATGAATGAAGTATAAAAAATTCTAAATTAATGGAGATATGCACTTTGTTTCTGAAGGGAAAATTCAATCTCTTAAACGTGGAAATTTCCCATAAACTAATCTGTAAATCTAAGCAATTCCAAAAAATAATTCCAGCAAGATTTTTAAAATGGATCTTGACAAGTTGATCTTCAAATTCAAATAGAAACACAAAGGTTTAAGAACAGACCAGATAATTTCGAAGGAGATGGAGGGACTGTATACCTGCAGTGGGTAAAACAAGAAAAGCAGAAAACACATGCACAAAGGGAAACTTCACATCAGAGAGAGGCAGAGCAGGGAGTTAGGGTGATGCTGTCAATAATTGAGATTGGGACAATGACACTACTATGTCAGGGAATGGAGGGTTGTCTTAATCAAGGTACAAAAATCCGAAATCACAAAGAGAGGATTTTGATGAATCTAATGACATTAAACTTAGAATCTTATTTTTGTAAAAGACCGAATAAATAGGCACAAAAACTAAAGTCTGCAAACACATATGACCAAACAGTAGTATTCATAATGAATAAAATACCACAAATTGATAAAAAGTAGATACATAACCCAGAAAAAAATGAACAAAGCATTGAAATAGGCAATTTTTAGAAAAGAAACTTGATTAATACAAGAAAAGATGCTCAACTTCACTAGTCATTGGGAAAAATGCAAATTTAAAGATACATCTTGCACTTCTGTGTTTAACAAGGATTCAGATGTTGGGCATTTACAAGCGTCAGCCGGCTTGTCGAGCGATGCACCTCACACACTGCCTCTGGGCTTGTAGATCGGAGAGCCATTTGGCCACATGTAGAAAAGGTAAAGATATGATGCACATAACTTTCAGCCCAGCATTTCTACTTCTAGGTATTTACCTTAAAATCACTCCAGCTCACATATACTAAGAGAAATGCGGAAGAAGATTTCCCGAATCATTGTTTATAATAAAGAGAAAGGAGAAACATTTAAAATGACAATCAAATAAATGGATAAATTGGGGTATATTTATGCAATTACACTAGTTAGTTATTAAAATGACTTAACTAAGGCTGGGTGCTGTGGCTCATGCCTGGAATCCCAGCACTTTGGGACACCAAGGCAGGTGGATCACGAGGTCAGGAGCTCAAGATCAGCCTGGCCAATATGGTGAAACCCCGTCTCTACTAAAAATACAAAAATTAGCCAGGCATGGTGGCGTGTGCCTGTAGTCCCAGCTACTTGGGAGGCTGAGGCAGGAGAATCGCTTGAACCGAGGAGGTGGAGGCTGCAGTGAGCCGAGATTGTGCCACTGTACTCCAGCCCAGGCAACAGAACGAGACTCTGTCTAAAATTAAAAAAAAAAAAAAAATGACTTAACTAGAATCACATGTAGAAATACAGATCTCAAAGTAATAATGATGCATAAGAAAGCGTGTTGAAGAATGATATGTACAGTATTATTATACTGTTCTTTATCAAATTCACAACGTGAAAAATGTATTGTTTCTAGTTACAGATATATATACTGAGAGTAAAAAAGTATGCGTGTGAATGATAAAGAATGATTTCAGGAAACTCATCACCTCAGAGTAGGGAGGAGAGGTCAAATAAGTACAGGAGGGGTCCACAGGTGGTGTCGGTGTTATTCGAAATGTTTTTTTCCCCTTAAGAATCTTGTGAAGCAAATGTGGAAAAACTGTTGAGATTTGATAAAGTTGATTGGTAGGTACACAGGGATTCATAGATCAGTCTCAATGTTTTTCTGGATGTTTGAAATATTTAAAAACATATATTAGTCCATTAGTAGTAGTAGTTGTTAGGTAGGTATTAGGGAAAAGAATGTGATGTGCTACAATTCCAGGAATTGAAGCTTTCCCCCTGTTATTTTACATTTTTCTGAAATTTGGATGCACCTTCCAATTAAGATGTACATTAATAGAGTATTTTTTTCCCCTTAAAAGCCATTACAAAATTGACGGCATGTCCTACAGTTCTTGCTGCTGTAGACATCAGTGTTGGTCTGTGGTATCCTTCCTCTAAATATGTGTCTTTTAGTATAGAACTTTAGTATAGTACAGAACATGAAGTTGCTTGAGGCCCTGCACTTAGAAGGGCTCTATGCGTGGCTTAAGTCTCTTCAACGCCCATTGGAGACAGAATTTTGGTGAACCCACAGTGTGCAGGGGTCAAGGTAAATGTGTGACATCTCCTACTGAGTAAGCAGGGGTACTTACAGCCCCGAGACGCCAAACTTTTCGTTTGAACCAGAACTTGCTTTGAATGCAGAAAGAAGGCAATGGCATTCTAAGAAACATAGTGACCAATGAACCCTATCATATCCTTTCTTACTCCTGTGCTTTTCTTGTTGGAGCCAGCAACTGAAGCAGGAAATGATGACATGGAACGGAAGGGAAAGATAGGGGACCCCATAGTTCTTTCCCTTTCCATTCTTCCTTATTCATCAGTAAACTGAAGGTAGAATGTTGGTAGAATGTGCGAGTCTCAAGAAGTGAAATAAAAACAAGTGAATTGGTTTTATGCGACATGTCTGCTGTTCTTGCAAGAACAAAGTGTATATGCACATATATAAGTTACGAAATTCAAATTGTGTAGTTAGTTTCAGTGATTGCACGTATGAGTTAGACCCTGTTTTAAATGTTTACGTTTAAAATTGGAATTGCACAATATTAAGATGAACGGTAAAATTCATGCCAATATTTAAATGTTTAATTTTTCTTAGAATGCAGCTAAATAGCAAGTAAAAAACACTATGGCAAATTGAGAGACTGGGGAAGAAAGATAAAAGCTTTATATTTTAGTTTGTAACATTGCTTTCCTGCTTTTGAATCAAGAGCTCCACATTTCCATTTTGCACCGGGCTCGACAGCTTCGCAGCCCAGCCCTGCTTTATAGGCAAGACATACAGCATCTCTTTGCTTGTGGCACAGACTCCGTGGACAGGCAGAAAGAGAAATACGTCTCCTGCCAAGAGAATGAAGCTGGAAAATGAAGTTGGGTAATAGGCTCCTCTCTAGGGGTGTTCTAATAACATATTCCCCACAAATGATCTACTTCTGTTTTAGGAAGATTTAGCATGAATCAGACTTCTTTTGCTTGGGGATTATACACAAAAAGTCAACTAATTATTCTTCTCTTCCATGATAAACATCAGGTACACATTTCTCCTTGATGCAGAGACTTGTAGTTATTGATTAAAATTCAGTTCCACTTATTCTTGAGTGTTTGATGAACTACATTTCCCAGATTCCTGCGCAGTGAGGTGTGGTCATGTGACTGAGTTCTAGCCAATGGAAGAAGTATAAGTGATACATACTCCTTCCAGACCTGGCCTATTAAAACCTCCTCCACAACATCAACCTTGTGACTAGAATCATGAGGCCACATGTCCCTACAACTGCATGGAGCAAATCCTTCTTCTCCCAAGTCATCTGCACCTGACCAATACTGGCCTATTAACCTGAAAAATAAATCAACTTACTGATTCTTAAGCCACTGAAATTTGGTAGTATATTCTGTTACTTTGGTATAGTCTAGCTTAACCTAACTCATACACTGTAAATATCATGTGGACAAAAGCAGCCAATAAAAATTTCCTAGAAATTACTCTCCCTAATTCCCATGACTTTTCTTCTTTACTAATTCTTGGGAACACCTTTTAAAATTATATTTTTCTAGTGCACATCCAATTGATGTTATTTGAAGTCCATTTGGAAGTGAAATAAAGCTTTTGTCCCCACTTGCAGGAATCTAAATTGCTATTAAATATAAGTAAGAATTATTTAGGTATTTTTCTTCTGGATTTAATAAGTGCCATTAAGAGCTCAAAATTAATTCATGAGTTGAGTATAGCTCCTACTGAGGAGGTACAGAAGTGGGTTATGTCTCAGGGTCTTTTCCTGGCTCTGTGGATCACATGCTTGTAACTGTCATGGTCTGTGTTTCTGCTCTAAGCAGGACTGCCGACAGCTTCACTGGGCTATGACTAGGCTGTATTAACCACAGGGCACGCACAAATTGCTCAAAGATTCTTAGAGGAAATGGATATAGAAAGAATCACATTCTGGGTGTCATATTTCAAGTAGAAGTTGGGAATCAAAAGGGAAACTTGTTCTCCTTCACCTTATCAATAATGATTCCTGGCACTCAAGTTTGGATTCTTCTTTACTTCCTTGCAAGAGATCATCTTATGGTGCTAGGACTAGCAAGTTTGTTCTGTTTCTTAAAAAGGTGATTGATTAAATTTACTGATGAGTAAATTCAAAGGAATGCTATTAAAAAGTCATGTTAAATAAAATATGTATTTATTAGATTTCTAGTAAGTGGCATAAATAAAACCAGCCAATCTTGTCAAAACAAATTTTTTCATCTTAAATAAAATAAATCTTATTTTCAGATCCACAGATATTTAACTTCATGAGCATATTAAAATTAATATATAGTAAGCTAGTATTATAATGAATGTATTACTTACATTCAGCTAGACAAACCAAATCACATCTTTCTGAAATAACACCACATGCAGTCAAAGCTGCACACAAATGGCTACGCAGTAGTTTGAAGATGAGCCATGTTACTTATGACTAAGTTTGGGTCTTTTAAAATAAAATTAATGTGATATAGTAAATGAATAAATGAAAACATTCAACACGTGCCTATTGAACGCATTTTATGGGTAAAGTATTGTGGTAGGGGTTATGCAAGGGAATGGGAGGGTTTTCAAAAAATAAGTCAAAGTTTAACGACCCTTGTGTAGAATTTTACACATCTAATAGCACGCTCACGTCTTAGCCCGTTTGATCCCTGCAACACTCTTCGGTGGTGAGGGAGGTAGGATCGCTCCGATTCACAGCTGAGGGCTCTTAACATTCAACAGCTGCCATGTTAGTTTCTTACAGCTGTTGTAACGTACCACAAACCTGGTGACTTAAAACATACCACAAACCTGGTGACTAAAAACAAGTGTCTCATAGTGTAAAATCAAGGGCTCAACAGGGCCACCCTTTCTGACGGCTTTAAGAGAAGAATTTGTTTTATGCGCCTCTCCAAATTCTGGTAGTTGCCAGCAATCCTTAGCATTTCTTGGCTTGAAGCTGCATCGGCCCCCTCTCTGCGTCCATCTTCACGGGGCATTCTTCCCTGTGTGTGACTGTCTTCATGTCATCTTCCCTCTGTGTGTGACTGTAACTTCTCTTCTTCTTTTTTTTTTTTTTTTTTTTTTGTTTGAGACAGAGTCTCGCTCTGTCGCCCAGGCTGGAGTGAGTGCAGTGGCGTGATCTGGGCTCACTGCAAGCTACGCCTCCCGGGTTCACGCCATCCTCCCGCCTCAGCCTCCCGAGTAGCTGGGACTACAGGCGCCCGCCACCACGCCCGGATAATTTTTTGTATTTTTTAGTAGAGACGGGGTTTCACCCTGTTAGCCAGGATGGTCTCGATCTCCTGACCTCGTGATCCACCCGCCTCGGCCTCCCAAAGTGCTGGGATTACAGGCTTGAGCCACTGCGCCCGGCCGACTGTACCTTCTCTTCTTAAGAGGACACCAGTTGTATTGGAATTAGGACACACTCGACTCCAGTAGGACCTTATCTTAACTAATTACACAATCCTATTTCCAAAGAAGGTCACACTCTGAGATTCTGGGAAGGACATGGATCTTGCGGGGAGACTTTTCAACTCAGTACACCCACCTGCAGTGCTTCTGGCCCAGTAACGTTTCCCTAACTGCTCCTGGGCCAGATCAGACACAACCCCAGGCAAAGGACCCGCTAAGTGCAAAGGTGCTCTCAGTCCATGGACCTGCTTGCTGAGCCTGGCAAGAGCAGGGCTTGTAGGAGGAGGATTAGGTATGGGGGAGAGGCCCAGTAGTGGGAGATGATGCTAGAAGGGCACGTTGTGCCCAAAGTGGGAAAAATCTTTGAAAATCACTGATAAAGTCTTGACATTATTGTGCAGGGTCATTGAAGGGTTTTGCACAGAAAAGTGGTGGAGGTGCTGTGGTCAGATGCTTCCAAAGACTGGCTAAGAGCTTGTTCATGTACCTGAAGTTAAAGGTGACACACATTCAAAATAGGGTACCAGAAAAGAAAGTAGGAAAGAAAGGAAAGAATAATGACATAGGAAGGGCAAAGTGGGGAAAAATTAGTTCCTGACTTAAGGCCAAGGGAGGAGAAAAAATAAAGTGAAATAGCCAGACGTTGGGCATAGAAGACCAGGAGAAAGGAGGGTTCTCCGGACAGACACAGGGAAGCTGGGTGTGACATCCAATGCAGTTTGCTAACATTGTTCAGCATCCTCCACCCCCAAAGGTGCTCAGTGCAGCCACCTTCATTCCAGTGGGATACACATAGTCAAGGCACACATAGGACTAAGCGGCTTTGTGGTTATATAAGTGACTATGCAGCCCTGTTTTCTTCATTGTTCCCTCATTCCTTATCTAAGACAATGCTTATTTTGCCTTTGCCATTTCTCCTTTTACTTCTTTTGTCCCACTATGTCCCCAGGAACCATAAGAGACACATGAGGTACACTTTTCTTTGGAAGGCTTCCTTTGCCAGATTGGTGTTAATCTCTCCATCTTTCTCTTTGATTCCTTAATTTTCTGGAATGATCCACCCCTTCTAATCTTGTTATTTTTCCAAATAAGCTCTTATAATTTGCCAAGCACTGTTTTAAGCATTCTGTAAATATAAACCCATTTAATCCTCACAGCCAAAACTACTGTTACCCTTATGATGTAGATGAGGAAACTGAGGGAGGAAACTGAGTGTGAGGTAGGAAGGAAACTGAGTGTGAGGTTGGATACCTTGGCCAAGGATGTACAGTCGGAAAGAGGTGGAGTCCGTGCTCCTAACCACTGCCACGCTGCCCTGTGATCAGTAGGAAGATGGAGGCTGCTGATCAGGAGGACAGTGTTTGCTTACCTCAAAAACCTGGGCGGCCACTGGACACAGAGTACTGTGTCACCTCTAATCATAAGAAAACAAGGAACACGCTCAACATTGAAATGTAGGCACTGTCTAGAGTGGATGACATGTAAGTAATAGAACGACTCTTGACGGAATGTGAGACTGGGGTGTTTGTGCCCTGATGGTGAGGGCTGCAGTCTCATTCCTTCGTCTCTCACCTGGTCATCTTTTTGCCCAGTGGCAGGTACTCAGGTACTGTACATGCCATCTCATGGATGAAGTCACAAGAAACCTGGGCACCTAAAAAACGACAATGTCCTGTGACGGGACTAAATCTGCCTCCAAAATCATTGACATAATATCAAAGCAGGGGTTCTGGAATTTGAATGCATGTTCAAATCGCGCTCAAATTGTTTAAATGCAAATTCCAGACCCTTCCCCAACTTCCCCCCCATTCTCATTTAAGGAATGAATGAGAATCGTGGGGCCTAGGAAGCTCTACTTGTAAATGAGAACAGTGATTCTAACCCAGTGTGTACATGGACACATTTTAAGAAACTGTTAGAGCCTGAGCTACCACAATCATCAATGGGTTTTAGGTGTTTTCCTCAATATTTTGAGTTATTTTTAAAATATTGAGAATTCTCTTATACTTAACATTTAACACATACCACCTAGGTTTCTACCAAAAAAAACAGATGGATGAGATATATATCAAATCAAATTTTGTCACTGGGCTTTTTTATTATACGTTCTTTAGAATATATGTAAGGAGCAGTTACTTCTGGAAACTTGATGATATGGAGCAAAAATAGCTTACTGAGCGGTAAATGGATTCCAAATCTTTATTTAGTTGGAAACTTTCCCATTAGCTATCAATTTTGGGTGAGTTGTTCTATGCATAATATGTACACAGTTTTGGCTAAATGACAGTCTGAGATCTTGTCCATGATCATCCTAATGGCATGCATCAGGCAAATCAGGCACAATTCTGTGTGAACAATCTGCCAGTGTTTTAAAGCCTCTGAGGCTGAGTATCACTGCACTAACCACTTTAGCTTCCATTTCAGCAGTAAATTAAGTTATATAACTTGCATGAATATAGCTCAATTTTTAAAAAAGCTCAGCCTACAGACAAGAGAAATGACAAAGGCATCCTAAATTCATTTTCTACATGATAGACATCTCTAATGGAGCCTATCAGTTTCCATCAGAATACCAGACCTTACACAGCCAGACTGCAGCAGCGGCCCTGGTTGAAGGTATTTGTATTTCGTTTCCTAATATACTTAGTGCCTTTAAGTAATCAAGTTTTCTCCTGCTCAGCTACTTCTGACTAGAACTAAATTATGATTCTTTAGGAGGATGCTTAAACTCATTTTCCATTTACAACTGAGGGCAATTTCTCAGCCCTGCTTCTTGTTCCAAAGAAAGCCTAGATTAATATCCTGAGAATTAAGCTTTTGCTGTACTTCCTCAATTTCATCCAATTTTAAGTGGCTTTCCTGAGTAGAGAGAATCATCTTCTTCAATAATCTCACCAATTTTGGTATTTTAAAACAATTACACTTTAAATTTAAAAATCTTCTGGAAATTGGAAATTTTGAAGCTGTTTGAAAAATAATAAACCACAATCAAGGAACAAAGAAATACCTTTAAAAATACATAGTACATATTCTAAAGTTCATGTTATGAGATGGATTACAAAAACAAGTGAGACATATTAAAATATATATTTCTGCCAAACAAAAGATATAATATTTCCACTGGATCTGTTAATTTATAAATAATCAGCAGGCTGTCATCAGGCTAAACTGTGCACTCTGAGCTACAAGCATGTGTGGAAGTTATGGCACATTGTGTCCTGATGACATGGTGAGACTCAAATGACAAGACTTTACGATAAACTATTTCTGTAAATGTAAAGATAAAGACTTCTTCATATATGACAGAGAGCATACACACTTTTCTATGTCAAGCATTTTGCAACTTCAGTGTCATGACTAACCTAATTCTATAGCCCAGGAAGGGGAAACTAATAAGAATTAATCCAATTGAGGGTGTGCAGTTATAAGGCGACCTGAAGATTCTTATTTAACAATAGTGAATGTGAAGGACACACTTGTGCGGCAGACCTAGAGACAAGCAGTGGACAAAACAGACAAGTCTGTCCTTCATGGGGCTTCAAGTCTCAGCAGAAGGAAGCTACAGCTTGTTCTCTCTCCATGGCAATATTAACTGACAAAATACCCATTAAAAGCACAGGCTATTTTCCATAAGTGGCATGAAAAGGCTTAAGCAGGAATAGGCCGAGGCAATTTGTCCTTTAAACTTCACAATTTGACAAAATGTCATAATTGAAACAATACTTGTCTGAAATATGATGCCTTCGAGAAAAGTTTCTGTTTTTCTTTTTGCACCCTCCAGGAGAAAGAGTCAGAGCTGGGCAGAGCTCTGGAAATGACGCCACTTTTGTTAAATGTTAGAAATGGCACTTGCCACTTCATTGACCCTGTTGGCATTCATTTACATAGTCTCATAAAAAAACTGAAGGCACTATTAGGGCTAAAGTCTGACAACTCCTCAGAGTTGTACGTGTGTAATTGATGCTACGTAGTCAGTTCCCAGCTACTTAGCGATGAAGAGCTGGGGTGAGAGATGGGGAGGGGCTCAAGAGCACTTGACCTGTGTTTCCACCCTCCCTCCAGTGGCATCTGACCTGGCCAGCAGTGCTACCTGGGTGCCTGGATAGACTCCCCTTCGGGTCAACACCTGCCAGCAGCTCAGAGCTGAGCAAAACAAGAAGAAATGTGAACACCATGGGCCTTGTGGATTTACAGCACCTTTATTTTCTTTCCCTGTCTATCTGGGTCTGTGGCATTTTGCTTTCATAATTATTCTGGGTTTTTATTTTTAAAAATCTAAATATATTCACTCTTAATAGGAAAGGTTTATATGAGGTTATTTGATTTTCACCTCTGCAGTGCCCTTTCAGATTCTTTCGCCATTGCTTTCTTTGCACGTTGTATTTTAATTTAATTGAGTATGTGTAAAAGGAAGGTGAAGCTTGAAACACTGGGTGTCAGAGAGACAGAGAGAATTATTGTGACCTGTCTCAACCGCATTTGCTCTGTTCCTTTTGTAAATGCCCTCATAAATACCAAAGACAATCTTGGTTTCAATGTTGTGTAAAAATAAAATGCCATAGAAATTAGTTCTGTGAAATGAACAGAAGTGGGAAGGCTCATCTAGGGGGATTAATGTATTCAACAGGTGTTCCATGGGTGGTTCTAGTGTTTGGTCTCAAGGTCAGCCATTCCAGCAAAAGGTGAAAGGCCTGATTCAGAGGTTAATGAGACAATTCTTTGCATATGCTACTGAGTGAAATTGAACGCCATTGTATTTTGGTATCTTATAAATGAAAGCGTCATTTGGCATACTTTGTTTGAAATAAAAATTTATCATCCCAGCAATCCCCTGACCCCCAAAGAATCATCACAGTTAGGTGCCTGTTCGTCCAATCTTTTTCCTATGCTGTTACTAGGATATACGTAAGTGTTTTTGTATGTATATACACACGTACAGACACACAGACCATCTGTCAGATAAATGTAGACAGCTCATTTTGATCTGCAATGTGTAAGTGTTTGTATGTATATGTGCATGTTTTATGTTACAATAAACTGTGCTCCTTTTTCCTAAGGCAGAACATATGTATCATTTGATTAAAATGCTGCACAGAAATATTTACTATTTCAGAAAATTCAGAAATTCTTACTATTTTGACATCTGTGTTGTTATTTCTTGTGGGATAGTTTCCTAGGAGTAGAGTTTAGGGGTTGAATGGTATACACACTTAGTATTAAAAGAAAGCTAATTATCTTTCAAAAACATCATGCTTATTTGCCTTCTCATCAACTGTTAACAAGAATGTCCATTTCCTTGGAATTTCATAAAAACTGGAGGTTATATTTCATAGCGGTTTGAATTTACTGTTAATGAGGTAGCTCATTTCTTCATTGTTTTTGACTATGCTTCTTTTCTGAATTGCTGTTTCTATTGAGTTGTGTGTCTTTTTCTTATAGCTATTTAGGGGTCTTTCATAGGTCTGGGCATTAAGCCTTTACTGTTGCATGTGTTGAGATTATGTTGTTCCAATTTGCCGTTTGCTGTGCAGCTCTATATTGAGTTTTTTCACTGTATGTGAGTTTTAAGTTTATATTATATAGTCAGACCCATCAATCTTTTCCTTATACTTCCTAGAACCTGTTCTGTGGTTGAAAATGGCTTCCTCACTCTGAAATTATTTAACAAAATTATATTTTCTTCTAGTACTTTTATAGATTTAATATTTTTACACCTAAATCTTTAAACATCCTTAAAAGTATCTGGAGACTGCTATGAGACATACCTCCTGACTTTATTTTCTTCTAAATGGAGAATCAATTAACTCAATTTCATTTAATAAATAATCTAGTCTTTCCTTGCTGATTTAAAATATCACCTTTATTGAATTTCTACATTCCCACATACACTCTTGGAGTTTTTTCTGAACGCTCTACTGTTTTCTTATGACTTATCCTTCCGTTGCACAATTGCATTGCTTTGTTTGGAGTAGGGCAAATCCTTTTCACTTCTTTATTTTTTCCTCTCTTATAATTCCAAATATTTATTTGCTATATTTTCATGAGACTGTAATTCATGAGATTATACATTTTGAAGGATGTGAAAGACGTTTTAAAAGTTTACATGATGCCTATATATAGGGGATTATTTTTGACTGCCAGAATAACAGTTTTTCAAAATTTACAGCCATATTAATTACAGAGCCTACATGGGGCAATGCAAAGTGCACCCTCCAGCTGTACGGCCTCTCGAAGGTGCCAGCATGCAAGATGCCCTTGGCTTCCCCACTGGTGCCGAACTGCAGCCTCTTCCTTCCTTTGACTCTACGGCACTGCTCCAGCTGGTGTTCTTGTGTGGAATCCCATTCCTGGGGAAATGCTGGACATTTCTTCATAAAATCAGAGGCTCTTTCCTAACCTCCTCAGCCTCTTTTCCAAAAAGTTCTTAAGAAAAATAAAATAAAATAAAATAATGTTATATTCCTACAGGATTTAAACTAGTTTATAGAATTAACTTTTGTTCACGTGCCCAAGGTCACATAGTTGGCTCCAGAATTTAGAAATTCAACTTAAGACCCAGTAGACAAGGTCTTAGGTAATTGATTATTTTTTTAAGTCACATTCTATGTATTTTCCTAATTTAAAAAAAAACTTAGCAAGTCCTGGTCAAATTGTTCTGAAGTTGGCCTATACTTCAAATCCCCTTTTTCCCCCAGCATCAATTTCTGCACAGCAAAGGAAACAATCAACAGAGTGGAAAGGCCACCTATGCAATGGGAGAACATATTTGCAAACCATGTATGTGATAAGGAGTTAATTTCTGAAATATACAAAGAGCTCCTACAACTCACTAGTGAAAACTCCCAAAAAACACAATTACAACATGCAAAGGACTTGAATAGACATTTCTCCAAAGAATACATACTGCTGCCACTATGGAAAGCAGCATGGAGGTTCCTCAAAAAATTAAAATAGAATACCATATAAGCAGGCAATCTTACTGCTGGGTATATACCCAAAAGAACTGAAATTGTGATCTCGAAGAAACATCTGCACTCCCATGTTCCCTGCAGCATCCTTCACAGTGGCCAAGATGTGCAAGCAACCCAATTGTCCACTGATGAATGAAATGTGGTATATGCATATAGTAGAATACTATCCTGGCTTTAAAAAGAAGGAAATACTACCATTTGTGACAACACGGACAGATCTGGAAGACATTATGCTAGGTGAAATAGTCAGAGAAGAAGAAATACTGAGTGATTCCTCTTATATGGAGCATCTAAAAATAGTCAGATGTACAGAAGTAGACAATAGAACGCTGGTTACTAGCGGATGGAGAGGGGGCATATGCAGAGTTGCTGTTCAATGGATTATCAAATTACAGTTACACAAGATAAGTTCCAGAGATCTCCTGTACAACACGGTGCCTAGAGTTAACGATAAGGTATTGTGCACTTAAAATTCTGTTAGGAGGGTAGTAATATAGGAGTTATTAAGAAATAATTTTTAGGCAGCTAGAAAGGGTGAGAGTTCTTGGTGGAATTTTCCTATAATAAAAAGCGACCCCCCAAACCATTTCCTTTCTAACAGAAAGCAGCTTGAAAAACCAGGCTGGCAACATTGATATGTAAATGCCAGCAGCTAAAAACCAGGTCCACCCGACATGGCGGTTCCCGCCCTCTTCTCCTTGTCACCACAGCTGTCATGGCTGCCTCCAAATAACACCACGTGTGCAGGACATCATGCCGACCCGCATTTGCATATTAAAAGGCTAGGGTGGGAGGACCAGGTTGGCTATGTGAATGACACACCTGGTCAAGCCAATCCCCTGGGCCCTAAGCAAATCAGACACCGCCTCCTCCAGCCTCCAGGTATAAACAACTGTTTTTCCTGGGCACACGGGGTTTTTCTCCGTTAGGAGCCCAGCTCCTTCTGTACCGGGGAGCTGTTTTCTTCTTTCTTGTTTCTTGCCTGTTAAACTCTCCGCTCCTTAAAACCACTCCACGGGTGTCCTTGTCGTTAATAGCATTGGCATGAGACAAAGGACCCTGGTGTTTCTCCAGTCTTCGGAGCTGTATCAGTAGTCTTATGTTAAGTTTTCTTCCCTCACACAGACACGCAAAAGGAAACTTCTGGAGATGATGGATGTGTCTGTCTCCTTGTTGTGGTGATGGTAACATAAATGTATGTATACCTCCAAACTCACCAAATTGTACACATTAATTATGTGTGGTTTTCATATACCAATTTGTCTTAGTCCACTTGTGTTGCTATAAAATAATACCTGGGGTTGGGTAATTTATGAAGGAAAGGGGTTTTTTGTCTTCCGATTCTGCAGGCTACACAGGAAGCGTGGCACCAGTGTCTACTTCTGGGGCTGCATCTGGTCACAGTGGAAGTCGAAGGGGAGCTGTTGCGAAGGGATCATGTGGCAAGAGAGGAAGCGAGAGAGCGAGGGGGAGGTGCCAGGCTTTTTTAAACAAACAGCTCTTGTGGGAACAGCAGGGTGAGAACTCACCCATTACCATGGGCAGGGCACCAAGCCATTCGCGAGGGATCTGCCTGTACCACCCAAACACCGCCCGGTAGGCTCCACCTCTAACAGTGGGGATCAAATTTCAACAAGCGATTCGGAGGGGTCACACAAACCAACTATAGCACAATTACATCTCAGTAAAGCTGAACAAATAGAAAAGGAAGTGTGTGTGTGTGTGTGTAAATGCGTTAAAGCAGAATGAAGATGGACAAACACATGAGAACTCAGAAATCTATCAAGTCAAAGAAGAACTTGTGAATTTGTCTATTTTTTTCTCAAGATATTATCTAAACATTATGAATGTACTTATACTAGAAATTTTTCTACTCTTCTCAATGGAACTAGAGACCAATTTCAATGCCCATAGTAGGTATCTAATAGTATCAAAATCACCATTAGTAGAAAATGACCATTAATAAGGCGCCCTCTTTTCCTTCCAAAAACTCCTCCGCATGTATAGAATAGCAGCAAGTGAAAAGAAAAAAGAGAAAGAGAAAAAGATCACCGGCCAGGCGTGGTGGCTCACACCTGTAATCCCAGCACTTTGGGAGGCCGAGGCAGGCAGATCACAAGGTTAGGAGATTGAGACCATCCTGGCTAACATGGTGAAACCCCGTGTCTACTAAAAATACAAAAAATTAGCCAGGCATGGTGGCGGGTACCTGTGGTCCCAGCTACTCGGGAGGCTGAGGCAGAATGGTGTGAACCCAGGAGGCGGAGCTTGCAGTGAGCTGAGATCGTGCCACTGCACTCCAGCTTGGGTGACAGACGGAGACTCTGTCTCAAAAAAAAAAAAAAAAAAAAGATTACCGAGAAGGATGAAATGAATGCTCTATAAATTTAAAATAAACTTAGGAAAATGAGCTTCTGATGGGTCTGTTTTATGACTGAGAAGTGATGTGAAATTCACATACTAGGTGTATTTCAGAGCAGAGAGGCCGCAGCAGTCCTGGATCGGCTGGAAGTGACAGTTGTAAGAGTGATTGCAAACCTACAAGATGAGCCAAAGAGAGTGAGCCCATGACTCTGTGCATCACAGAAGCCCCGAGGTAGACAGATAATCCATCGAATAGAAGTGACAGACTAATTTGTAAGCAAAAGGATTTGTAATATTTAGCAAAAAGATAAGGGTACTCCATAGCACTAAAATATAAGGCAATTGCACTGACAGTCCTGCTTAAGGAATGGAAAAGAGAAGGATAAACTATGTATAATGCTTTATGGTTTATAAGGTCCTTTATAATATTTGTTCTTCACAACAAAATAATGATCACTTCTATTTTTTGATGAATAAATTGAGGTTTGATGAGGTTAAATATGTGACCCTCAAACCATATTTCAGGCATTCATTCACTACAATATCTACTGAATTAACTGTAGCTATTTCTTAAATTTGTAGTGATGTTGTTATGTTATGACTTTGACCATAGAAAATGGAAGAGTATATCTATTAGCTCTTGAATTTAGAACAGCTCCCATTTTTTTCTTTAAGCAACATTTTGCTCTTAAAGTCTCATGGTCAGATGCTTCCTGGCATTTGGCTGGAGGAATGTATAGCTAGGGTCTAGTGAGGTATGGCATTGTTCCCTTGAAAAAGGAATGAGGCCAGGCATGGGAGGGCCTGGGTCTAGCTTATTCCCCCGGCTGACAAGGATCATTTGAGCTCCTTCATGACCAGAACTCATCCAGGGATGCCATGGAGACTGACTCAAACTCTTCAGTTGCAGAATTCTTTGGCTAAAATGAGTATTATACAGAAGTCCACAGTATTTTTTTTTTCTTAAAAAGAAAAACCAAAAACAAAAGTAGAACTACTTTTGCTGATGAGGAGAAAGTAGACGCAGATTTCTGCCTTGCACATAGTAGGCACTTAAATTTTGAATAAGTGAATATCTACCTCTGCGGTAACCTCTTGGCTAACTGTGGATTAACTCATCTCATGTCCCGTGGGTCCAGGCTGCCCCTCTGTGCAGTGTGGCTGTCTGGTCTCAGGGCCTTCAAACTCTAATAGGATCCTTTGGGAGCTAAAATGCCTCACCCCAACAGCGCCCCTAAAGGTGGGCATTTCACACACTGAGGACAGAGTAGCTAAGAACACATAACCATGACCATGTTGCCCACTTAGTTTATTCATGGGGGCAGATGTGCAGTGGAAACAAGGGAGATCCTTTAAGACTTGTGGTGTGACACAGCTGATGCTTCTGGAAGGCCAGCAGGAGTTACAGCAGAGCAGAACTTCTTTTCAAAAACAGTTGAATACTAGGTCAGTATTCAAGTGACCCACTATAGCTTTCCCTCTTATCTTATTTCATATAATTCATCCTAGAGCCACACAAAACACAGCCTTTCCCCCTAAACCTCTACCTACTCTGTAAGCAACCTCAAATCACATTTCTATTATAAAAAAGGAATGTATTATTTTTCTCGTGCTATGAATGGGAAAACTAATACTCTACAAAATGTGTCTTAGAAAGGAGGCCAGAGGCTGAACCGACACCAGAAATGATGAACATTTGGTCTTTCAAATGTGGAAGCAGAAAATGAATGGTGCCAGATATTTGATTTGAATAATAAGCCCCAAAATGTAATCCTAACATTTAAAGCTATAAAACAAACCAACAACAACAACAACAAAAATACATAAAATGATGTTGAAATTAAGAGAGAAACTTTTTGGGGGGATTGTTTTCTCAGCACTTTTCTTGCCTTGACCCTCCTATTCTCACTATTAAGATGTTACAAGAAGTGGTTTTTATGCAACATTAAATTGTCCTAACCATCTTCAACAACTCAATACAAGATTCATAAACAAAAAGCACAGGTTACAATCTCCTGTCTATATCTGGTCAGATTTATGAAGCTTGCAAAATACGTAACACTTGGAGTCTCCATCATCCCGAGATGGGTGTAGCTGAGCAACTCCTGCATGACGTTGAGCTGTTCTGAACAATCTCTGCTGGGGCTTCTTCTCTCCCTTCAAAGACAGTTTGCTTAGAGCTGCTGGGCACCAATCACTTGATCATCGTGCCAGGAAAAGCCAATTTCTTTACTATTTACGTCACACTCACTGGGTGCCAGGTGGTGTCCTGAATGCTTTGCTAATATTGACTCAATCCTTGAAACAAACCCATGAGGTAAGTACTGTTAATACCCAAGTTTCACAGACGAGAACATGGTGGTACAGATGAGTTAGGCAGCGTGCTCGCATATCTCATGGCTGCGAAGAGCTGTGGCCTGTATTGGGCCCCAGGAGTCTAGCTGTAGAGCAGGAATCTGCAGTTGTCCCCTCTGTGGCCCTCGCAGTTAAATGACAACAATGAGCATCTCTGAGAGCACAGCAGATGGCCCTGGGATCTGCATGCAGCGGGGACTCTTGTGGATGTATTTTCCTGCTCATGCCTGAAAGAGCCCCTTGAAGGCTTTGGTTAAGCAGAGTCCACTCTGGGTGAGCTCTCTTAGAATGTGACCTAGACCTGGACTTTCTGAACTTTTTCAAGTAAAGGAAAGAACAGGAATGGGTCATTGAAAATATCCTAAAGCTTTATGTGTTCTGTTTTCAGAGTTTTTCCGAGTCTCTATGCAAGGGTCACTTCCCACATGTCTGAGAAGGAAAGAGGAGGTGAGAGGAGAGAAATAGAGAATCAGAATCTGCCCTTGAATGAAACACTATTTGAAGCATTAAATCACTAAGAGAATGCAACCCTTGAAGGCAGATTGAACATGGAACTTCTGTTACCTTATTAAGTCAAACCAGTTAGAAACCAGATGTCTCCTAAGAAATGGAACATATTTGTTTACAAACATATATAGTAAATGACAAGATGTATGGAAAATAAATATGACACTCTCTGAATTTTTAAAAAGAGTTCTTTACTAAGTTAGCAAGTGACATAGGTAAGGTAGGATCAGCCTAACATGAATAACAGTTTTCCTTTAAAGGACCCAGAAACGGGGATCTATAAATAAAATACATTAGCCATGCAGTAACTTTGCTTAAAAAATATTTTTTTGTGTTTAATTAGTAATGTTCTATCACACCTTAAAGAATGGGGCCTCACTTCTCTCAAACCTTCCCTTCCACATGCCCTGGGTGAGGAGACATGGAATCAGTGACTCAAAGGACAAGTGGCACCATTGCCACTATCACTCAGGAGGTGAATTGATGCAAAAATAAGACAGATCAGAAGCAGGTGATACGCTGCTATTCATAAACCCGTTCATCCGAAAATTGAATGCCTCTCTCCAGACGTCACCCCTAATGGGTAGGTAGGTGGCAAGTATTATTTTCCTCTTCCTTGTGCAGTGTATAAACACCTTGGCAGTCAGTGTGCTCTGAGGAAATAATTCCTGTTTTCACCTCGGTTTCTCCCCTAATGCACAGAGACTATATATATAATGCCACATAATGAATTACTGACAGAGTCAATAGCAGACTCGAGGTTTTCTATGTCCCAGTTAAGACGGAATGCTTAAGTCAGCCTTCATCACTCTTACAGGCTTAGTTCTCTTAAACCTCAACCTAATTTTAAGAACAGCCATGTTGTCAATTCTCTGCCTGTACATTAGGTAAGACAACAAGCATGAACATCAACACATTGTCACATCCATGATCTTGCTTTCTTCTACCCAGCTGAACAGTTTCAGAGTTTGATTATCTAATCTCCACATAGTGACCTTGCCTCCCTTTTTCATTAGAAACTTTTTTTTTTTTTTTTTGAGACAGAGTCTCGTTCTTGTCACCCAGTCTGGAGTGCAGTGGTGCAATCTCGGCTCACTGCCACCTCCGCCTCCCAGGTTCAAGCAATTCTCCTGCCACAGCCTCCTGAGTAGCTGGGATTACAGGTTCCCACCACCAAGCCCAGCTCATTTTGTATTTTTAGTAGAGATGGGGTTTCACCATGTTGGCCAGGCTGGTCTCCAACTCCTGATCTCAAGTGATCCACCTACCTTGGCCTCCCAAAGTGCTGGGATTACAGGCATGAGCTACTGGACCTGGCCAGAAATTTTCTTTTGCAATCTCAAAACCTCCACTCCTTTCATGACCTTTCTGATTTCCTGGGAGCCCTCACCACCAGCCTCCTTAGTGCTGGGGTAGGAAACCTCCCCAGTGGCTGGAGCCAGGCGGCCTCAGTCTCTAGGTGGCCCCTGCCCTTGAGCAGTGAGCTGAAGCCACAGCACAGGGGCCACTCAGTAATTCTGTACTTGTTGCTGGCACCAAGAAGGGTTCCACATTCACAAGTGTGACTGGGAGTTCCACTGTGATGCTCTTTCCTAGATGGTTTGCAGGGACCCTGAAGGGTAACGCTAGACAGTGTGGGATGAGTGTTCCCTGAATTCATCCTCCTTTTATTCAACTTCTGATTTTCCTCTCCTGGCTTTCTGATTTTCCACTTTCCTAGCTGTACCTGGGCATGCTCACCCAGCTTTTGGATGAAACTCTTCCTCCGAGGGTGACAGGGAGTGGAGAAATGATGCTGGCCACGGGACAGGCATGGAGAGCCTGCCCTTCCAACTTGCTTCTGTGAGTGCTCGTCTGGGGATCCCTGCAGCACCTCCGACTCACCACGTCCAGGACTCAATGCACCACCTGCGTCTCCTGTGTTCTCCAGTGCTGAAAACGGCATCACCATCCTAACACCCAAGCTTCTCAGTCATTTTTGAATCATCTTCTTCTCTGCAGCCCATACTTAATGAACTCTTCAGTCTTGCTGATTTTAAGGTGCCAACTTCTCAGGCTTTTTCCTCCTCTCCATTATCCTGGTGCAAACCCTTGAGAATGGCCCTTGAGCCCCTGACCTAAGCCCTAGAAATAGTGCCATGAGCAAACATCTACACTCGTTTCTTTCAAAAGACCTTTGCTAAGCCATGGCTAACATTTTCATTTCCGTCATACCTGGACTGCTGTCGCTGGTCTCTACAACCAAGAGCGCTCTGCACACACTGTTGTTCTGACTCTCTCAATCACTCCAAATATATAAAAGACTCACTTCCACCCAGACACATCCCCCCCATTTGATACAGTTTGGACCTATTTCCCTGCCCAAATATCACGTCGAATTGTGGTCCCCAGTGTTGGAGGTGGGGCCTGGTGGGAGGTGATTGGATCATGGCTGCGGATTTCCCCCTCAGTACTGTCCTCACGATAGTGTATGAGTTCATCTGAGATCTGGTCATTTAATAGTGCGTAGTATCTGCTCCCTAATCTCGCTCCTGCTCCAACCATGTAAGACGGGCCTGCTTCTCCTTCGCCTTTTGCCACGATTGTAAGTTTCCTGAGGCAGAAGCCCAGGAGCAGAAGCCGCTATGCTTCCTGTACAGCCTGCAGAACCATGAGCTCATCAAACCTTGTTTCTTTATAAATTACACAGTCTCAGGTATTTCCTTACAACTGTGTGAGAATGCACTAATACACCCCTCAGGAAGTTTCCCTGTCCTCTAGAAGTGTAACTATATCTCAGCTTGGGAGGGCAAGCAGGGATTAAGGTCCTATAGGCCCCAAATGCCCATAGGCATGAATAGCTTTTCTTCCAGCATTGGAATAGATGCAGCAGCTGAAGTGGCTCGCTTCTGTTAGGGCGTGGTTGCACTGGAGGGCCATGACGTAATTACTACACTTCAGAGGCAGGTGAAGAGCTGAAACTGACAGAGGAATGCAGGATTCTTATGTTTGATCTCATGGTCTCTCCAGAGTGTGGACCCAAGAGTAGCGTGGAAGGTGGAGTGGACAGAAGGGGGCCTGGCCTGCTCTCTGGGCCTGGTTGGATTTGAATAAATTACAGTAGATGCATGCTGACTTCACATTGCAATCGCAGCCTCGTCCTGCTTGTTTTTATTTTCAACTCAAGTCCGTCAATCAGTTTTCATCCTTCAGGTTTGGCCCTGTTGTTTCCTCACTCATGTATAATCTTTCACACAAACTATCTCTTAGGGTAGGGGCGTGGGGGAACTATAGACTAATTCCCTTCATTCATTTTGTATGCATCCACTGCAGTAAAAATCAATTTAGAATCCATCACTCTTAGGATGCTTTTCTGATTAAGTAAGAAACATTTACCATCCACACAGCATATCAAGCTTTACCACTGGACAATTTTAATGCAGATTAAAGCATAAAGTAGCTCTCTGCTTTTTCCAAGATCCAGACTGGTCCCCTAGAAAGCCTTCCCCGATGCCCCCAGATAAAGCGAGTCATCCCCTCTACTCAGTCCCACCCCACAGAATCCAGCCCAGTATAATAAGGTCACAGCCTACATCGCCTTTATTCATGTGTCTCTGGAACTCAGCATGCAGTAGGTATTCATTAAGTATTGATTTTATGAGATTCAAGGTTTCTATTTGTATATAAGAGATTTAGTTGGCTAACTAACAGTTTCAATGGTTGATTACAATCCTAAATGATCCATGTCACTGGGAAATCATAGACACATCTTTAAAGAAGCTTCCTCTTTTATTTCCAGCTTTGTTGAGATATAATTGACAAATAAAAATTGTATATACTTAAGTTGTACACATGATGTTTTGATATATGAATACATTGTGAAATGATTATCATAATCAAGCTAATTAGCATATCCATCACCTCACATTATTACCTTTTTTTTTTTTTTGATGCTGAGAACATTTGATATCTACTCTCAGGAAATTTCTAGTATGCAATAGAGTATAATTAACTGTGGTCACCATGCTGTACATTAGCTCTCCAGAATTTATTCATCTTATAACTGAAATTTTGTACCTTTTAGCCAACATCTCCCTATTTCTCCCACCCCACAGCCCCTGGGAACCACCATTCCATTCTCTGCTTCTTTAAGTTTGATTATTTTAGATTCATCATATAAGTGAGATCATGTAATATTTTTCTTTCTGTGTCTGGCTTATTTTACTTAGTATAATGTCCTCCAGGTTCATTCATGACACTCCAAATAGGATTTCCTTTATTCCCAAGACTGAATAACATGCATATATATATGGATGTTAGAATTCAGTCTTCATTCTTAGTCTTTATCTGTGTAGTGAATTAATTTGCTTCTCATTTCTTTTTGTAAATATTCTATAGCTATTTTCTTTGTGGTCACCCTAAGGATTACGTTTAATATCCTAATGTTATAAGACTCCAATTTGAATTGATACCAACTTAACTTCAATAACACACACAAAAAATGCTCCTATGCAACAGCACCCTCACCCTTTTCAGGTTTTGTTGTTGTTGTTGTTTTTGAGACAGAGTCTCAGTTCTCTCACCCAGGCTGAAGTGCAGTGGCACAATCTCGACTCACTGAAACCTCCACCTCCTGGGTTCAAGCAATTCTTGTGCCTCAGCCACCCAAGTAGCTGGGATTACAGGGGCGCACCACCATGCCCAACTAGTTTTTATATTTTTAGTAGAGACAGGGTTTTGCCATATTGGCCAGGCTGGTCTCAAACTCCTGGCCTCAAATAATCTGCCCACCTCGGCCTCCCAAAGTGTTGGGATCAGTTATCGATATTACAAAATTACGTCTTAATACACTGTATGTATGTCCAAAAACATGAACTTGTATTTTTTATGCATTAATAGGTTAAATAATGTAGAAAACAAAATGTGGAGTTACACACCAAAGTGAAACAATACTAGTTTCTATAATTGCTCATGTATTTACCTTTACCGAGACCTTTATTTCTACATATGGCTTCAAGCTAATTTCTAGTCATTTCAATCTGTGGCCTCCTTTTAGTGTTTTCTGCAGGGTGGGTGTAGCAGTAGCAAACTCCCTTGGCTTTTGCTTACCTGGGAATGTCTCAATTTCCCCTTTGCTTTTGATATACAGTTTTGCTGGATATTGGGTTCTTGGTTGACAATTTTTTTTGTTTGTTTGTTTTGTTTTTCCTTGCTAAATACATTAGCCCATTGTCTTCTGGCCTCCATAGTTTCTAATGAGAAGTCAGTTGTTAATCTTTGGAGTATTCTGTATACGTGATGAGTCCTTTTTCTCTCACTGCTTTCAAGATTGCTTGTCTTTTGATGGTTTGATTATAATATGTCTCAGTGTGGTTCTCTTTGAGTTCATCCTACTTAGAGTTTGTTGAACTTCTTGGATGTTTACATTCATGGCTTTCATCATATTTAGAAAGTTTTCAGCCATTATTTCTTTGAATAACTTCTCTACCGCTTTCTCTCTCTCTTCTCCCTAGAATCCCACAATGAACATGCTGGTCCACTTTATGATGTTCCACAGGTCCCTCACTCTTTGTCCACTTTTTCAAAAGAGAAATGCTTTTTCTTTCTATTCCTCAGATTCTGTAATTTATTGTGTTATCTTTAAATTCACAGATGATGTTTCTGTCCACTCTAACATGCTTTTGTATCCTGATAAATTTTTTCTCTCAGTTACCGTCCTTTTTAGTTCCAGTTGTGAAGCTGGTTTCTTTTTAGACTTTTTAAATTTTTTTATTGGTATCTTCATTTTGTTCATACATTGTTTTCTTGACTTCCTCCCCATGTTCTTTTAGTTCTTTGAGTATCTTTAAGATAGTTGTTTTTAAAGCCTTTGTCTAGCAATGTCTACTATCTGTTGTTTCTTAGGGACAGTTTCCATTGATTTATTTTTTACTTTGAATGGACAATACTTTCCTGTTTCTTTGTATGCCTTGTGATTTTTGTTGAAAACTGGATATTTGATCTAATGACATAGTAACTCTGGAAATCAGACTACCCCCTTCCCCAGGTTTTTCTTTTAAAAAAATTGTTCTCTGTTGTATCTGTGCTGTTGACCAGCCTGAGGTGTAAACCTAAGGTCTTCTCAGGTCTTCTTTAGGCCTGTGCCTTTCCTTGGGCATGCATAGTGACTTTCTAGTTGCCTTTGCACATGTGATTGCTTTTAAATGCCTGGTTTCCAAAAGAAGCAAAGGAGAAAAATGAGGGGGAAGGAGAAAAAAAGAAAAAGGGGGTTACTGGCCATATAAGTTCCCTGGAAATTGCTTCAACCAGAGGGGGAGGGGCTTGCAACAAATGAGGGAGGGATACAGCAATAGTTGCCCCCTCTGTGTTTGCAGCTCCACATTCAGAAGCAGCAATCAGAACACAGGTCCCCAAGTTTTGGAGGAAAGGGTCCTTTTCACCTGCACTGGCTCCCACAAGCTGTGTGCAAGCTACTCTAGGAACAGGTGCACAGCTCCCTGCCATAGGACTGGGGGATGGGTAGCTGCCACTTTGCTACCAGCTTATATGACTGAAATTAACCACAATTTACCTTCTAAGCCTTTCTGTGAATGTTTCAATCCTTAGAATAGATGCCAGACTTCAAAAAAAGTTCCATCAGACAGATTCTGTCAATGCAATTGTTGTCTAGGTAGGGAGGCAGATGCCTGGTGCTTTTTACTCTACCATCTTCCCAGAATCCTTTCCCTCAATGCCTTGCTTTTAAAAATTCCTCAATGAATTTAATAATTTGGTACAGTGTCACCTAAATAAAGCAAATCAAGTGAAAACCTAGATTATCAGAAAATAAAATTTGGGTGTAAAAATTCCCTGAAAATTCAGAATATGATTAATTTCTTAAAATGAGTGCCCCTCAGGCATTTAAATATATGATTCAATTTGTTAAAATTAGATTTACACAATATGTGCCAGGAGCATGTTTATTAGATAAACCAAGATACACCCAAGCTTGCAAGCACGTCCCTCCAAGGAAATCAGTTAATATACTTAGAATAAAAATAGAAAAGACAAGAGCAATGCTTAGCATGAAATCTCACAGATTATTTCACAGAAACACAGGTATTACACTGAAGAATACAGAATCACAGGCATGTTCTATAACAATGACACATTAAGAAAACCATCAGCTCTCTAACACTGACCACAAGTGGGTTTCAAAGGGAGGGGGCTAAAAGCAAAACAAAACAAAATAACCTCCTTGAATGTACTTAATTAGGCACTTCAAAACCAGAGCAGAAAGCATCCTATCAGTTCTAAGTTTATGCAGTTATTAAATTTGAAGGTTGAATATTATTTTGCTCCAGGCAGTTCAACTAGCTGTGTGGATGTTGTTTGTATAAATGCCTCATTATGCATAAAAGTGGCATAAACACCCTGTACTTACCTTGCATTTCTGTAAAAGAACTAATTATCAATAGCATCTACTTCATTGTTCCCCACCCTCTGGTATGGAAATCTCATTGATTTTGCCAGCGTTTACAAGGGGATCATAAAATCCAGAAATTATTGATTCCACAGCTCAGGTATGAGTTGGTGCCAGGCAATTGGGATTAACTACAGTGTGGGAGGGAAGGAACCCTGGGGTTATCTGCAATGGAACCCAGGTCTTCCTGTTCTTGGGCAGGTTCTAGCGTAAAAGGCTCTGCACAAAGTGGGTGGTGAGAAGAAATAGGAATGAATTGCTTGACTATAAATGACAACATGCACTGAGGTTGAAGGAAAGAAAAACAGATGTAAGAAGCGGAAGGAGAATCTGCATCACAGAATGTCCAGCAGGAAGAGGGAAGAGCATATTTGGATTTGACACATGTGGATTTGAAGACATGTGAGTGTTTCTCCTTCCTACTTGCTAGATGAAGAAACACACAGACGGACTGAATGACTGGCCTGTGGTCATGCAAGCTATGAAGACAGCAGTAACTGATCCTGGGTCTCCTCATCAGCCATACCATGGCCCTTTCAAGAGGCGGTGTTTGCTTCATTTACTCTGCTTCAGTTAGCTGGTTTCCTGCCAACACAACAGGTCTGAGGGGCTGAGCATCAAAGTGCTGCCACGGTGACAGCCCAGGGGCTGCTAGAGGAAGGTGAAGGTGTGCAATGTGAATGTTTTGTATCCACCCTCCCTCACCATGGTATTTTGGCTCTACAAGGGGCTCTGTGGTGAAGACAGCAATGTGACCACTGGGAGTCTCAGACAAGAACGAAGCAAATTGAGCTGTGCTCTCCTGCCTGGCCTGAAGTTTGTTCAGATACTGCAGATAAAGGCACTTAGCACAGTGTCTCATGTGGAGGGGATGCAGAGTGACTGTTGGCTGCTATCACCATCATTATTGTCACTGGCACTTTGAACTCCAGTGAGTGTAATTATATATATTTGTGCTTTTATTAATTTACATGCACTATTCTATATTTGCTGCTTAGCACAGTGGTTGGCACATATAAAATATTCAGTAAAAATAATGAAATAGATGAATGAATGGTTTTTTCTATGGCATGTGTGTCAGAAGAGGTGGGATAACCCCATCTGTACCAGGTACCAGGAAGCGAACTCTTCCCAGACTGGCGTCATGAATCTGCACAAAGTGAAACAGTGGCCTAGCAGCCTTCAGGAGACATTGCCATGTTTTCCTCTGCCCTTTCTCAGTTGGAATCTGTGAAGATGAACTACCTCTTCTTTCCCCTGGATTTCTATCCATAAATGTATCTTTGTACAATTGCTACCAGCATATAGTATCTCCACACTAGAAATCTCAGTGGCCAAGCTCTAGAAATCTCAGTGGTCAAGCTCTAGAAATCTCAGTGGTCAAGCTCTATCTTGTGATTTTCCTGCCATCTCCATGAAACTGATATTTATCATTCATTTCTCTCTAATGAACCAGTTATATACTTGAGTTTGCATATCAAGTCCCAATCTCCTTCTCAATTTCACTGTGGAGGAGGCTCTATAGTACCACAGAAAGAGTCATCATGTAAATTCTTAACAAAGTGAAGAATTCTTTAAAAAGTGGAAATCCCTGCTTGTTTATTCCCAATATTCAGTCAATTGGCAGGTTTTCTGTTTCTTCTTTTACAAAAGTGTCATTTGTCCCATGAGCATATGTGCTGAGACTTCAAAGCATTGAGGGGAGGAGGTGCTTAGGAAGTTGATTTTTCTCTTTCCTACTAAAATGCTCTACTTACTAAAATGCCTTAGATAGGACTCAGATAATGTTAAGAGATTATAAAGATAGAAATATTTCAAAAGGAAGAAAGGAAAACCACAAACTACTACTACAATTTTGTCCAGCATTCTTTTGGACTGGTGGCTACCTGTTCCTAGAATTGCTGAGAGGTTTTTCAAATCGAGATGAGACAACAGATGTAATTTTTGCTGCATGGAGAACAAAGAAGAATTTGCTATCATAGACAACGTGTGATAGTGATGCTCTGAACTCACTGTTACAGCATAGTAGGGGCAGCTGGCAACAGTGGGGTGGGTACACAGTTGCAAATGAACAAGTAATAAGATTGGTAAATGATTGACTTTTGGGGAGCAAGGGAAATAAATTATTGAAAGAGTACACCATTGGATTCTTTGTAAAAGTTGTCTGGTAGAGAAACCTTACTTTCAATCACAAGTTTTCTTTGCCAATATGAAATATGACACTGAATCCAGCTAGCTGGGCTATACCCTGTCCAATAAAATGATGAGAAGCAAAAGAGCAGAAAACAATCAAGATGTCAGCATGCCTACTGGAGGGTTGACACAGTCTTCTGCCAAGGTGATACTTTGCTTTCATGCCAAAACAGTGATCTAAAGTTTTATCCTGAAGAAACAAGCGACTTTATGGGCTTTTGTAGGTTTCTTGGTGAATATTATTCTTGTGCATCCTGTTCTTTGATGTATTGATTTTGATGAATACATAAAGATCAGGTACAAGGCAGACCTTTTCTTTGTTGGATTCCAAATGTACAAGAGATCTACATTTCCTGTATTTGTATGGACAGTGTTATTAGTCTGTTCTCACATTGCTATAGGTTGGCGCAACAACTTAATATGAAGAACTACCCAAGACTGCGTAATTTGTAAGGAAAAGAGGTTCAGCCAGGCACAGTGGCTCACGCCTATAATCCCAGCACTTTGAGAGGTTGAGGTGGGTGGATCACTTGAGGCCAGGAGTTCGAGACCAACATGGCAAAACCCTGTGTCTACTAAAAAGACAAAAAAAAAATTAGCTGGGTGTGGTGGCACATGCCTGTGGTCCCAGCTACTCAGGGACTGAGGCCTGAGATTGCTTGAACCTGGGAGGCAGAGGCTGCAGTGTGAGGAGACTGCACCACTGCGTTCCAGCCTGGGCAACAGAGCAACACCGTCAAAAAAAAAAAAAAAAAAAAAAAAGGGAAAGAGAAGAGGTATAATTGGCTCACGGTTCTGCAGGCTGTGCAGGAAGCATGGCTGGGGAGGCCTCAGGAAACTTACAATGGTAGAAGGCGAAGGGCAAGCAGACACTTTCTACACGGTTGGAGCAGGAGGAAGAGAGCAAAGTGGGTGGTTCTACAGATTTTTAAACAACCAGAACTCGTGAGAGCTCACTCATCATCATGAGAACAGAAAGAAGGAAATCTACCCCAGTGATCCAATCACCTCCCACCTGGCCCCTCCTCCAACATGGGTGATTACAATTTGACATGAGATTTGGGTAGGGACACAAAGCCAAACCACATCAGACGGCTTCAGCCTCAAACCACCTCCCTTATGTCAAACCTAAAACTTAGATAGCAGAGGACTATTAACAGTTATTAATTTTTACACATTCGGAGGAAAGCAGGATTCCTATATATCTAGGCTATAAAATAACTTGAAATGCAAACTTGCATAAGAAGAAACAACCAAATTTCAAACAACATGTTAGGATTTTGGAGAAATTTATAGAGCAAGAGAAACAAAGGGAAACAAAGAACAGCAAATAAATATTGTCTAGAAACGTCAGCATTAGGATGTAATCAAGATTGAGTCCTTGTACATTTGGAATCCAACAAAGAAAAGGTCTGCCTTGTACCTGATTTTGATGTATTGTTGAAAATCAATACATCAAAGAACAGGATGCACGAGAAGAATATTCACCAAGAAATCTATGGAAACTCATGAAGCAGAGAGGCCCGGTCCAGACAGCCAAATGAAGCCCCCAGTGGGAACGTTACAGGAAAGCAGATTTTGGTTAAATATTGAAATTGTATTAGTTAAGCTGTTGCAAAACAGTATCAGTCCTAATGGGATGCAGTGTGCGCCGTGTGACTCAGGAGATTCAGGCAGGGGTCTCTGCCCACTCGTTGAGGGTTGACACTCAACTGGGATCCACCACCAATGAAATAAGGCCATCTCAGTCTGAAAAATTCCAGGAGCTTTTTGTTTGTCATGTTTGTGACATACTAAGTGTTTTCATTCATTTGCAGTTTGTGGCCTTTATTTTCAATGCATCTCTGCCTTATATTTATAGTTAAGATCAATGGCTCTACTTGATATTCTTTCTGTATATCTTCAACATCTTTCTCTTTCTCATCATATTTCTATTAGATTTTAAAAAATATGAAAGAACCCTCATGGTTTTAGGTTTTAATCTCTCTACCTACTAAAATGCCCTTGTGCTTTTCATCATATTCACTGACCTTCTTTTTCCTTTATCTATTTCTCTCCCTCTCTCTGTTTCTCTTTCTCATTCTCTCAAGATAAACATTCAAGCTGAAGATCCACCATGCCCTAATTTAGACAGAATGACTTTCTTCTTGATCATTATTTGCAACTCATCTTCCCCAAACTTAAAAAAGTGAAACTAGAGCCTTTTTTCCTCTTTTCAAGTTACAATTAATTTACATAGTTTAATGAGCAAGTCTTGTAAATTCTTCTTTCTAAAGAGCATTTCTTGCAATTGGCTTGAATCATCTCAAGTTAAGTCCTGCTGATGATGAGGACTTCCGTGCACAAATGGTCAGCAAATTATCTTTTCACACAAAGGACAAACTATTGTGCATGAAGAACTCCATGCTTCAGGATACCTATAGTGAAGCTATCTACATCATCATGTACAAGTGGTACTTTGCATTGGATTTATTAACTCAGCAAAATCTACGCATACTCTATTAACTAGCTATAAGTGAGCTTTAATAAACATATGCAATAAAAATCTTGATTATTGCTCATGTTATACATTTATTAAACTCTGTTATAAACTCCAAAAGTAAAAATGTCATACTATTACATAAAGGCTGAATTTGGATTTACTTTTCATCCAAGAATAATGCCACTCAGATGTTTTAAAAAACAGATCACAGTAAATAATTAGTATTGAACACTACTTTTTTTAATTTAGTAACATGAATAAAAATAACTTTGGAAGAAACTGGAAGTTTAGGAATGTTATTAGTTTATTACTGCTAGTTTAAACACTGGAAGATTAAACCAATATAGCTGAATGATTTGTCTATAACAGTGTAATTAAATACCCCATTAGGTGCAGTTGAAGCACTCAGTATTTATGGATGGAGAAAACTGTACAAGTTATCACTTTTTATCTCTCTTTCCATTTGAATAATCCTATAAGTTCCCTTTTACTAACTGATTGACAGTTTGAAAATTACTTTATCTCTCTGCATTCATTTTCTCATCTGTTAAATTAGAGGAAGGATACTTTCTTCCTCCTGGGTTTGTGAGGATTAAATGAGATGATTCATGAAAACAGCTTAATCCAGAATCTAGCCTATAAAAAGCACTAAATAACTGTTAGCCATTTTTAAGACAGTTAACACAAAAGAACTTGAAACAAATTAATAAGTCAATAATCTACAAATTAACAAGTCAATAATCTCATTAAAAATTTTAAAAATTATAAATCTCTACTCCAGCAATGTGACTGGAAGAACAACTCTCTGAGATTTACATTTTTGAAAAACATAGTTTAGGCAAGAAGCAATTCTAAGAATGCATCAATGTTTAAGGGAGGAGATTTCTAACTTTCCATGACTGATTTGACTAAAGTCACAGGATCACGTCACAATGTTGGATATTAACCCATAGCTTTGATAATAGAATTCTAAAAACATGTTTATCTTCCTGGTCTAGAACACCTCAAATAGCATACTTTCTAAAGAATGTACCATTTTTTTCAATGACCCAATGTTGAGCCATTTCACTGAACATAGCTTATTATAGATTAGTTAACTATATCGATAGCCACTTTTTAAATTTCCCAAACTTTAAGCAGTTTTTTTTCTGGTTGAATATTTCTTTGAGCCAAGCAAATTAAACCTTTGCAGCTTCAAATGGAATAGCTAAGTGCTGATAATATTAACTGCATAATTTCAGAGTCAATTTTATGTTGTACATGCCAAAGATGTTCAACCAAGAAATTAAATAGTAATTAGAATTTATCTTCCAGTTACAATCTAAAAGTGATCATTCTTTAAATGTGCTAGATTGTGTCTCGCAGGTTTTTATAATGGAAATTCTCACATTACAAAACTATCATTTTAATAGGTGTGCTTGGTACATTATGCATTGGGCCTGGAAGTTATTTATTTAGAGAGAATTATATTAATACTAAAATCATTTACATGCCAAGTGATTATTACTCAGGAAAGGTTTTATTTGCAATGAATTATTTTTTTTTAATATGGGAAATCAAGAAAAACTTACTAGTGCAATAAATTTCTAGTAAAAGTAGGTAGAAATTTCTAAGAAAATGTAGGCTGATTTTCAGGAATAGGGTCATAGAAGTACTTCTCCATAATGTACTAGTAAATGTAGATTAGTGCCTTATTTTGAATTACTTCATAAATAGTATAAGAGTACTTGTTCAATGAGTTATTGTTAAGACTAGGAGAACACTCTTCTCTGTATAATATACAACCGTGTTTAACTTGAAATATCAATTTGGCAAGGTAATTGAAGTATACATGGCAAGAGCAATTTTTAATGTGTTTACCTATTATATTTGGGAGAATTGTTGGGAGAACTATGTGATTTGTTAGCAAAAGAGATTGTGAACAATTGCACCTAAAACAAATGGTCTTTTACCAAAGGATTACATTTAGAAATGAAAACATTGTGTAAATTAAATTGCCTAAAAGAGTAAGGTGTAAGCTTGCTCTATATCTTACTAAAATTTGTACAAATGAATCACATGCGAGTTACTATTTTTCCCCATGAGACCCACAGAGACTCTGGTCTCTTTGCACCTGCCTACATCCTTTTCAACTTGAAGTTGAAGCAGCACAAGACCCTCATCAAATGGTCTGTGCAATCTTGGACTTCCCTGCCTCCAGAATCATGAGCCAAATAAACTTCTTTTTAAAAATAAATTACCCAGTCTGAGCTATTCTGTTATAGCAACACAAAAATGGACGAAGACAGCTACATACACAGATTTTATCCATAACTCTGAGAAGGAATTTGGCTGGGATTAAAAAAAAATTGAATGCACACCATGTGGTTACATGCCTTCTAACACAAAAAGTGGAACAAAGTTAGAAGATTCTGTTTGATGTTTTTAATTAGGTGAACTTGCTGATAGTTTTCTGTGTTTAGAGTTTTTCTCAAGATATTATTGAACACTACTCCACAATAGAAATTGATGATATGAAAACATTTTTGCTTCATAATGCATAAGAATTTGTGAAGATCAGCAACAGCTACTTTGATCTACCAGCATATAATAGTTGTTAAATCGGATCAATGAAACTTCCATTTACTTCAGTACCTTAAATAAAAGAAATCTTTTGATCAGAATTACCTTAGAAATGCTATTTCTGGCAATCCAATTTACACTTCCAGAGTACCTGCCACTCAGGTTTGGAAGGAGGACCTGCTTATTTCTTGGGTGCTGGCTTTGGTTCATTCCTGCCCTGTGACCTTGGGCAAGTCATTTGATCCAATGCTCAGCTTTTTCATCTGTAAAGTAAGAATAACAATTCCAAAAATAATACAGTGTCGAGCTGCGCTACCTTCACTAAATGTTGGCAGTTAATTTTGTATCCTCTTGAACATGTACTTCAAGCTCCCAGTCATGGTCATCCAGGCATCAATTTTTTGATGACTTCATTCCAAAACCTCAATTCTACAGATGTTCCTCCAATATTTCCGTCCCCTTGTTATTCAGTCAAACATGAATCAAGGTATTGTTGTGAAAGGACTTTGCAAACAGAATTAAGGTTACTAATCTGCTGACCTTAAAACAAGGGATTATTCCACATAGTTCCATGCCTTGTAACAAAAAAAAAGTGGAACAAAGTTAGATTAGTTAACACTCTACTTGAGCAATACTCTTCTTTATCTGGGTGGGAATCACACGAGCCCTTGAAAGCAGAAAAGGAAGGCAGATGAGATGCGGCAGAAGGGGAGGCCGAGTGATAGGAAACCCTCCATTGCTGGCTTTGAAGATGAGATGGTCATGGGCCAGGGAATGTGGGCCGCCTCTAGCAGTTGAGAGCTCCCCACTGCTGCCAACCAGCCAGGAAATGGAGACCTCAGTCCTGCAACCATTAGAACTGATTTCTATCAACACCTGGGATGAGCCTAGAAGTGGATTCTTCCTCAGAAGCTCTACAGGGAACACAGGGCAACTGACACTTTGATCCCCTTATTAGATTCTAATCATATTACATAGCTGAGTCTGCTGGATTTCTGATCTGCAGAACTGTGAGATAATATGTGGGTGTTGTCCTAAGCGGCTAAATTTGTGACAATAGAAAACCAATACACTCTCCCTCCATCCACCCATTCAGCAAATATTTATTAATCTCAGGAAGTGCTAAGAACAATTGCTGAGCTGTTGATAAAGCAGTGAAAAAAAAGACAAAAGTCCCTGCCTTCATGGAATTTACATTTAGTAACAATACCTACATTAAAACAAACAACAAACAAACAAACAAACCCTAGCTTTCAGCTCATTGCTGTTGGATCTCACAGGACTATTAAGATTAGAACAAGACTAGACCTATTAGGCAGTCCTCATGATGGGAAATGCAACAGGTGATGTATCATCCTCCCTGACCATATGTCATACACATTTGGGTGGACTCGCAAATCTAGTTGGTAGGTAGCTTCAGGACAAATGGTCTCTAATGCGCTTTGGTTGGGTTTATAAGCAAGATATACATATCATCACGTGGTCCTTAGCAAAGATTTAGCAAAAATCATATACATTGCAGCTCCTAGCAAAGATTTGGAAAAAAAATACTCTTAGAAATTTCAGGAGAGACCTGATGGACAGTATTTGGAGGTAGCCCAGAGAGGGAGACTCTCCTTGGGATCTTCCCAGGATGCAAAGCATGTTAGTAGCACTGATGAAGCTGACATTCCTACTCTTCTGCAGGAGGGTTATGTTGATGGTGGAAAATCTGAGATTGGATTGCAGTTCTTCACTGTTTCATTAGCTAAGAGAGAGCATTAAGCCTAAACAGCACTCTTTTTGCCATTTAGCAACCTCAATAAGTCTGCCATCAGTGCTGGATTTTACTGTTCCAAACTGTACCCTGACCTCAGAGTCAGGTTATTAAAGAGAGGAGTAGAAGGTAAGGATATATGGTTAGAAGGAACATAAAGTTTGCAGGATGGTGTCCATGTGTGGCAAGGTTCCCATCCTTTTCTAGACCTGCTTGTTTCCCGACGGTAGTGAAAACCTCCTTCACCCCTCAGGCCTTCCGTGGCTGTACACATTGATTCAGGTTCACCGGGCGAGGCTCTGGGGAAGTCTTTGAGGGATTTGGTAAATTGAAAATGACTGTGTGGCCGCATAGTGTCTGTTTTTAAAGGATTTTTTAGGAAGCTTTGCTGCGCTGGCACATAGTAAGCACTCAACTTTTTTTGTTTTGTTTTGTTTAAATGAATCAGTGAAGGATGTATTATGTGGTTCTCTCTTTGGCATTCCCCCCGAAAAAAGACTTTCATAAAAACCACATTGCTCTCTAATGCTTTTGGAGGTAGCCTGGTGCATTAGTCTTTGTGTAGGCAGCGCAACCAGGCTTACGGTGAGAGCAGGAAGGCCTCATGTTCCACACCGCCAGTGGCTAGCTCAGCAGGTACACGAAGAAAGGTGAATGTGTGGGTTGTTTTTTAAGCAGGTTTTTACAGGCCCGACATCACACTCCTTCTCCTCACTCCATGGTTGTCTATGGTCCTAACAGAAATTCTTCTAGAAATTTTAGTTGGTCATCAAAAAAATAGAAAAGGTACTGATTCTCTTTGAATATCATTATCCTACACTCACAGCTTGTAAGAAACTTTGGAAGGACAAAATATGCTTCCAGAAAGAACAACATCTAAGACATTTGGTTAGGTGATTGTTTATCATATTTATAATAAATAAAGACTCATACAAACATATGTAACATTCAGTGATTTCTGTTAGAAAAACTATGAACTCCTCAAAACCCGATGTACACAAATAAATATCCAACTAGCATGCAGGTCAAACACAAAGCTTAAAATAGTGGGAAAATTACCAGGCAATAATCCTGTCATTATGGCCCAATTACATCTTGTTTTTTAAATTCCAGTATTGTATCATTAGTTTTTTAGTTTGTGACAAAGATACTTTCAAGAAATGAACTTAAGATGAAATGTAGGGTTTTTTGGGGGGCGGGGGCAGAGGCAGAGTTGTAATTGGTATGCAAAATCTAAATTAAAAGTCACTGAATGGAGAAT